>NC_000004.12:109375926-109527441 GCF_000001405.40 Homo sapiens | reverse complement strand
TTTACTCACCCATGTTTGCCAGAAGGCAGATGGCAGCTTGTACATCCACTCCCGCATATACATCTGCTAGTGAACTTACCACTGGCAAACAAAGTGTATGTACTCTAATTCTCCGCTCACCTAAAAAAAAAGTCATTGAAAATACATTAGATCAAAAAGGAAATAAAGCAAAGCAAACATGTCAAATACTTTTTTTCTTTCTTTCTTTCTTTTTTTTTTTTTTGAGACGGAGTCTTGCTCTGTCTCTTAGGCTGGAGTGCAATGGTGTGATCACAGCTCACTGCAACTTCTGTCTCCTAGGTTCAAGTGATTCTCCTGCCTCAGCCTCCCAAGTAGCTGGGATTACAGGTGCCTGCCACCATACCCAGCTAATTTTTGTATTTTTAGTAGAGATGGGGTTTCACCAGGTTGGCCAGGCTGGTCTGGAACTCCTGACCTCAGGTGATCCACCCACCTCGGCCTCCCAAAGTGCTGGGATTACAGGCGTGAGCCACCGCCACATCCAGCCACAAGTCGAATTTTTATTCAAGTTATTGTTTTGGCTAGATTACATCACCAACAGGATTTTGAGATGTAAAAACCAAGTTTTACAATGAACATTTTTAAAAGAAAATTAAACACTCTCCAAATCTGCAGAGTATGAACATACGCTATATCACTCATTCTAAATTATATCCTATAGAGTAAAATACCAGAAAACTTAACTGTCAAGTAACAAATGAAGGCCTTAATTGCTAAGCAGTTTTTTACTTTTTGGGGCAAGAAATAATACAAAGAATGGCATAGCTGGATTTAGCATGAACTGTTTTGAAACAAGATTCTAAGAATACAAGTCTTCCATAAATTAAAAAAGTGTGCTATTTAAAGATGCAAAAGTGAGAGTTAAAAAAAGAAAGAAAATAACAACATATGTTTGATTAACTAATACAAATTCCATTACTTCCCACTGTGTATTCATTCTTTTTCCCCACTCCACTAAAGGCCATGTGAAAGGAGGGAGGAATTACTGCTGCAGACTATATTTCATTTCTGTTAACATTACCTTTGCTTGATGTATATAATAGGGCTGTTTGAAAACATACTAAGGAAGTATCTGTTAAACTTTCTTCAATTGACAACTGCACCGCAAATCCAGCATCAGGATTGATGTTGGCAAGGGATAACAAATCAGTAGAACGGACAAAGAAGTTACCGTGAAAAGTGTGCATTGAAAGACCTAAAAAGGAGAAAATCATAAAAAATCAAGTTAACAATAGTATCTTCACCTCAAGCTAAAGTTACTTTTTTAAGTCAAAGATGTTTATGATTTTGAATCAAAAGGATAACTGGGGAGTCAAGGTTCAAGCATAGGCAGAGTTTCTAAAATATTAATTCAAAAAAACTAGTGGACGTTATATAAAAGGGAGACTATACATTTCACTTGTATTGACACCTAACCTTATTTACATTTTCTCACATGTGACTTGAAGTCAGACATAATCTGACTAAACATTTAATTTACAAAATTAAGCAAATGAGGGTTATTATATAACTCATCCTAGATTTAAAATAAAGGTAAAATAAAGGATTAAAACAAATATTCACATAAAACCAAGGAAGTGTACATTAAATGATTATGAAGGCAAAGACCCTTACTTTGACAATTCTTATTTAAGATCTTCCCTATTCCTCTAATTCTCCTTCTAAAATCATTTCTAATATAGGCTTTCTCTTAGGTTCTTCTGAGTAAATCAAACATTACTTTTGTCTACTTATTCAAGTTATTTTTAAAAATTGGGCAAGGATTATTCAATAACTATTATCTATTTAAAACATGGTATAGCTAATGAGATCAAACAGTCTTCCATCATGAACAGTCAGAGGTAGTCAATACATGGAATGCTCACTGACTTTGATACAAGTATTTAATATAAAATATAACTTTTACAACTTCATACCTTTAGTACACCTTATTCTCATAACAGCTTCAAACCCAATTTTTCTTGTGAGATACCGTTTTAGGTCTTTTTGTAACTTTTCTGCTTGTGAAGGATTGTGAGTATAGTGGAATGATGGATAATAATAGATGCACCCTGCAGAATACTTGGACATGCAAGCTTTAGAGAGAAATACAAAAAGTATTAGCTATAGAAATAATAATATTTTACTTGTCCAACAGTAGTACAGATTCTACATTATGAAGAAATCTAAGTCATGAGAAAACCTAAGCCATCAAAATAAGAACATACAAATCTGAGAAAACAGTAATATCTATAAAATATATGATAAAGTTTACTGTTGAGCAGAATGGTAAGGGAATCATGCTATCTAAACAAAATACAAGTGACATTTTATATTTGTATAGTGCTTTAAACTTTACTGGTAGTTTTCATAGATATTGTCTATCTAATGCACATGCTTTTCTCCCTAAAATATAGAGAATGCTTACTGAAGAGTTTAGATTTAATTATGCATTAAAAATGTTCATTTAAACAAATGTACCCATGATGACTTTCCTTACCTAGAGAAGCAAGATCAGAATACTGTGAACTTAAAAGGAACAAATCCACTGCAGTTTGCTGTCCCGAGCAATCTAATGCAAGTTTCTTATAAAAATCAGTTGCAGGGCCAAGATGTTGTACCACCTAAGTCAACAGATCATATAGTAAGAGCTAGCAATCTTTATGCTCATATTTTCATGTCATTTTTATAACAAAAAGGATATCCTCTGCCTCCCTACCAAACTAAGAGTTTTCTAAATGTCTAGGCATTTGGTGCAGATTCCCTATGATAATAATAATGATAGATAATCTTTATAAAAAACACTTATGTGCCAGCACTGTTTCACACAAATTAATTTTCATAACACATCTCATATGGTTTTTATCATCTACATTTTCAGACGAAGAAACTGAGGCAATAACTGATTAAGTAACTTGACCAAGATTACATAGATATTGAGAAGTGGATATTGGAATATCAACCCAAGAAATCTGGCTGCAGAATGAGTGCTGTTAACCATTATTAAATATTGTTAAATAACTTAAGAGAGTAAAAGATTAAGGAAGGTGTTTCTTTTGGTATGAGAAGACTTGAGCTGAGAAGGTGACACTGGAGAGAGTCTCCAAGTTCTTAATCATCATACAACATTTCCTAAAAAAAAGTTTCAATCCTCTTAATTACACTGTATGATGATTATATTAGAGCTTACTCTAATATAAGGAATTAAGGATATGAAGGAATATGTAAACCAGAACAGATACTGAAACTTTAGAGTCCTAGGCAGACAGATAGAGAATATTTTTGAAAGTTAAATGAGAAAACAAAACAAATCAAAACAAAGCTCTATCAAAGGATTCAGTAAATATATATCAGCTTCCTGTGTTCAAAACACCACAGTAATTTATAATGGATTGTAATGGGTCAACGAACTAAATGCCAGCTACACTTGTTGATGAGTTTAAAATACATACTTATTTTAAAATTAGCTTCCTTCTCAAATGCAATTTTAAAATACAATTTCTATAAAGGGTGAAATATGGTGCCTTTTTTTCTCTAGCATATTGGTGAAGAATAAAAAAAGCAATGCTACTTAATGGTGGTTACAGGATGAGAGTCCTTAAGAAGAGAAGTTGATTAAAAAACCCAAATAAACAAAACATTCTTTATTTAATAACTTAAAGATTATGCCCTTTAACCCAATAATTTCACTTCTAGGAATTTATCCTAAGGCAAATCTGGATATGTGGCTAAAGATTTATGACACTATTAAAACTGTTTAATTCATACTCATAACTACTTATAATGATATTTTCTCAAATATGTTAAGGCCAGACAGAACTTGTACAAAAGAAAAATGAATATTTTTGTTCATTTATTATTTGAAATAGGGCTTAAAAATGCCTGACCAAATCTTCACATAAAACCCAAGTAATGTTCAGCTTCGTATATTCCTTTCATTGTTATTATTATTATTGTTTTTCTTTTTTTTTGAGACCGGGTCTCGCTCTGTTGCCCAGGCTGGAGTGCAGTGGCAGTGATCACAGCTCGCTGCAAACTCTGCCTCCCTGGTTCAAGTGATTCTCCTGCCTCAGCCATCTGAGTAGCTGGGATTACAGGCTTGCATCACCGCACCCAGCTAATTTTTGTATTTTTAGGAGAGATGGGGTTTTGCAATGTTGGCCAGACTGGTCTCAAACTCCTGAACTCAAGTGATCCACCCACCTTTGCCTCCCAAAGTGCCGGGATTATAGGTGTGAGCCACTGCACCCGGCCATTATTGTTATTTTTTAAGATAGGGTCTCGTTACATTGCCCAAGCTGGTTTAGAACTCCTAAGCTCAAATGATCCTCTAGCCTCAGCCTCTTGAGTAGCTAAGGTAACAGGCAGGTGCTACCACACCCAGCCCTTTTTTAAAAAAAAAATAGTGCAAATACAGGTCTGGCTCACATCTGCAATCCCAGCACTTTGCAGGGCTGAGGTAGGGGTATTGCTTGATCTCGGCAGTTTGAGGCCAGCCTGGGCAACACAGCAAGATGTTGTCTCTACTTTTAAAAAACAAAAGAAAAAAATACTGAAGACAACTATTTAATAGCTGAAAAGCAATCAATTGATTACTTTCACATTTACTTTCTCTGTGACTTCAGAGAATGCGCACAATATATTCTCCAATGAAAAAGGTCAAACACACACACATATATATACACACACACACGTATGATGTCCAATTATGCTTATTTGTATGTTTGTATAACTAAATGCTAGTATCGTTAGATTATTGGTGATTTATGCTTTTCTCCACTTTCCAAGTGTTATACAATGATCTGTGTTATCTTCATAATTAAAAAGTTTATTAGTATGAGCATGTTGAATTACAATAGTTACATTTAGTAAGTTTTACCACTTACGTAATAGAAAAGAACACTGGAGTCAGAAAATCAAGTTGCACTTTTACCATTAAATAGTTATTTAACCTTTAACTAGACACTCTACTTCCTCATCTATAAAATGAAAAAGTTAGACTAAATGATTTCTAAATTTCTATGACTTACAAAGTATAAAAAGAACATACTGTGACACAAAACCAAAAAGATAATTTGAGTTAAAAACTCTCGCCGGGCACGGTGGCTCACGCCTGTAATCCCAGCACTTTGGGAGGCTGAAGTGGGCGGATCACGAGGTCAGCAGATTGAGACCATCCTGGTTAACACTGTGAAACCCTGTCTCTACTAAAAACACAAAAAAATTAGCCAGGTGTGGTGGCAGGCGCCTGTAGTCCCAGCTACTAGGGAGGCTGAGGCAGGAGAATGGCGTGAACCCGAAGGCAGAGCTTGCAGTGAGCTGAGAGCGCGCCACTGCACTCCAGCCTGGGCGACAGAGCAAGACTCCGTCTCAAAAAAAAAAAACAAAAACAAAACAAAAAACTCTCAGGCAGCCGGGCGCAGTAGCTCATGCCTGTAATCCCAGCACTTTGGGAGGCTGAGGCAGGCGGATCACCAGGCCAGGAGTTCGAGACCAGCCTGACCAACATGGTGAAACCCCCGTCTCTACTAAAAATACAAAAATTAGCCGGGTGTGGTGGTGCACGCCTGTAATCCCAGCTACTCAGGAGGCTGAAGCAGGAGAATCGCTTGAACCTGGGAAGCAGAGGTTGCAGTGAGACAAGATCGCGCCACTGCGCTCCAGCCTGGGCAACAGTGTGAGACCACGTCTCAAAAAAGAAACAAAAAACAAACAAAAAAACCCAACTCTCTTGCCAGTATTTTATTATTAATGAAATAGAATAAACAAATAATTACACAATCTTGAATATGACAAAAAACTAAACATAAAATACCTTTGTACTTGATCTCTGATTAGGATCTTCTCTGGATTGCAGAAGTCCTGCACCCAAGGAAGGTAACTGTGTCTGAAATACAGACACACGGCCACCTGTTGGAGACATTAATTTAAAGGCAGCCTGAAGTGCAGGACCAAGGGCACTGTGTGTTTCTCTTGTATTGGTGAACATGTTTGGTAATGCATTCAGTAAGTCTTTTATAAGCTGAGAAAACAAAGATCAAAAATTGAATTACTGAGAAGGCAAAGGAATAATCTTATTTTAAAACATTCCATAGTGTATCATGTGTCACTGTATTTCTGGGGACTGGAAACTGAGGAGTCAATAGATATGCCATTTATATTGTCTATTATTTGTAATACTAATATATCAAGTAAACAAATGTTAAATATTTTAGTTACCAGTCACAATATAAATATTTTTATGCTTTAAGAAAATAAATCAATCTTACCTCTTTACTTTCATATAGATTCACAAGTAAACTATCCGGTGTAGGTAGAAAAACATCTATAGGGAAAACACATATTTTAATCAACAAATCGAACAAAAGAATACATTAGAAAATCTTAGTTTTTATCAGGTCATACATGTAATGTGTACTATAATTTTGCTTTATTTTATTTATTTTTTTGAGATGGAGTTTTGCTCTTGTTGCCCAGGCTGGAGTGCAATGGCATGATCTCGGCTCACTGCAACCTCCACCTCCCGGGTTCAAGCGATTCTCCTGCCTCAGCCTCCTGAGTAGCTGGGATTACAGGCATGCGCCACAACGCCTAGCTAATTTTGCATTTTTAGCAGAGACGGGGTTTCTCCATGTTAGTTAGGCTGGTCTCGAACTCCTGACCTCAGGTGATCCACCCACCTCAGCCTCCCAAAGTGCTGGTATTACAGGCTTCAGCCACTGCGCCCAGCTAATATTGCTTTATTAAATATACACACTCTGTATATATTATACATACATGTGTGTAATACATAGGCATAACTTAGAATCAAGTATTTCCAGAAAAACAATTATTTTGAACAAATACTAAAGTGCATGACATTATCCTCACAGCATATAGCAAGGTGTATATTAAAATAAAGTAGCCCCCATTTCAAAGTCCGTAGTTAGAAAGGCTTTTATTTTACTGACTGCTTACCATCTATATCAGACACAATCAACATTTGAGGCTGTGATAATCCTTCTTGTAAATTGTAGAAATGAATAGTGCTATCAAAGGTCATGAATCCTATTCTTGTTCGTGAATCTCCAGGAAGCCTAAAGATAAAAATGACAATTTTAAATTCAGAGTGCTCAGTAACATATTTCATTTCAGAAAATAATGAAATAGTAATTTAAGTCCAAGGATAATTACACATATGCTTTTCTACAGGGGACAGAAAAATTATCCCTATCTAAACAAATATATATCAGAGAAGAAGACCAAGGTGAAAACTTACTTCCAGTTCCAATATTAGAACAATAGTATATCTTGCTTAAGCATTTTAAGGGCAGAATGACAAATAAGTACTTTCCAAGAAAAGATTGAATATACTGCAAATCAGATTTTAATGTGTAAAATTTTACACAAAAACCACATTTATGAACACTGAAACATTTTATCTATCATTAATCTTTTAAAATGCTGTTAGAGCTGTTTTCAAAAGTCGATGCTACAATACAAAGAAAAAATTACCATTTCACTGCCTGTCAAGCTTTCTTTATTAATAAGATAGATGCCTCATCTCACAGAAGCATATTACTAAGTACTACCAACTATGTTAACTTCAGTTATGTAATTTATTGTTTTAGCAATGCCTTTAAAATATCTTTGGATACTACAGGATGCCAAAATAGAATATGCATCGAAGCAAGAAGCATTATCACTGCTATGGATGACTGATCAGGGTATTAAGATATAGTCTGCAAGGTGGGTCAAGAGCATTTCAGAGAACAGAAAGCTACAAGTTATGTGGATGTTCAGCTTACCAGTATGGTGAATATTTATGATGTTTCCACAGACTAATCTTCACTCCTGTGAGACTTCTAAGATCACTGAGGAGTGGGGTCATTTGTTACTGGCTAGAGGAGACTACTGACCTACTCCAAGCTAAAAATACACAAAGTTGAGCTGAAACTGCTCCAGCATCAAACTCTTCTTTCTCAAAGAAGTTTCCAGAGCCCTTTCCAAAAACATATTATACATTTGTTGCTATTCTGTCACTTTCTTTTTCTTTTACTTTCTCAATGCTTGTTTTCTGCTGTAATCAAATAGAAATATTTTTAAAACATTTTCCATTCCCAGTTTTACACTTTTGGTTTTGCACAGTCTATTTAATTTACAAGTTGTCAATCATCTCTCTCAGTGTGGCTCCTATATCATACTTTTCCATACAAGGCTAATAGAGTAAATGGATTTCTGGAGCACAGTGACGGAATAGGAGCTTGCTCCATCCACTCCATGCATCAACCTGGTATTTTAGTACCTCCAAGAATGGTGTACCCTCTTGGGGGATTAAAACTTGGTATTTAAAGACAAAAACAAGCCAGGTGCAGTGGCTGTAATCCCAGCACTTTGGGAGGCCGAGGTGGGTGGATCGCTTGAGCTCAGGAGTTCGAGATCAGCCTGGGCAACATGGCAAAACCCTGTCTCTACTAAATATACAAAAATTAGCCGAGTGTGATGGTGTGCGCTTGTAGTCGCAGCTACTAAGGAGGCTGAAGTGGGAGGATCACTTGAGCCTGGGAGGTCAAGGCTGCAGCGAGCAGAGATCACACCACTGTACTCCAGCTTGGGGAACAGAGCAAGCCTCTGTCTCAAAAAAAAAAAAAAAAAAAAAGACAGAAACATCAACAACAAACCAACAACAAGCCAACCAATCATTTCTGTAGAGCAGTCTTCCGTTGCCACTCACTGTTAAAGCTATTTTTGAAGTAAGCACTTGTGACTAAAGTAGGGGCAAATACTTCAAGGATTAAAACATGAAAACTCTTAGTAACAAACACCAAAAGCAAATCTCTCAATATCTCTCAATTTTTAAAATCTTGAACATCTTAATGTTATCAGTTTCCTTTCAGGCCAAGATCAGTGATATGAAGACTATGGTGACTAGAAGTAGCATTCAACAGGGCAAGGACTCTTCAAGCTCAAATGAAAGATAGAGGAGAACCTTTTGGAATCACCAAAGTACTTGGGACAAAGTATTCATATATAACAAGCCCCACACCTCGACAGATGTTGAGAACCACTGCAGTAGTGAACCACTCTCACTAACAACCTGAAGCCACATCTCTTGTGGGTGTTGGAGTGAAACGGAAATGTGCAAACAACTGTACTTTCCAGAGATTTGGATGGTTCATTTTTAAAGCTAGATGAGGGGCTCCTTCATGACTAATCTTGGTAGACACAGAGGAGGGAATTAGAGCCAGGTATAAGCCACGTATCCTATACTTGCTATTTCCATTTCCACAATCCAGCTCATTACTAATGTGACAAAATGCTCAGTTTCTTAGCCTAGTGTGGTGGTGGGTGCCTGTAATCCCAGCTATTTGGGAGGCTGAGGCAAGAGAATTGCTTGAACCCAGAAGGCGGAAGTTGCAGTGAGCTGAGATCGCGCCACTGCACTCCAGCCTGGGCAACAGAGCGAGACTCTGTCTCAAAAAATAAATAAATAAATAAATAAATAAATAAATAAACAAACAAACAAACAAAATGCTCAGTTTCTCGCTTCCTAACATATTTAGCACAAAATCAGTTCCCTCCTTCCCTTTAAACCAGCTCATTCTGTCATCAGTGCAATTAAAACAAGTTTATGGAAAAAATTCCTTGCTCAGGCATAAATTACAGCCAGATTTCTCTCATCCAGATTCTTTTTAAAAAAATCCTTTTATCTTTTTAAATTTTATTTAAACTGACAGATAAGATTGTATGTATCTGTCATGTAAAACATGTTGTTTTGAAATATATATATCTACACTGTGGAATGGCTAAATCTAGCTAATGAATATATGCATTGCCTCACAAAGTTAAAATTTTTGTAGTGAGAACACAACAATTCTCATCTCTTAGCATTTCTCCAAGAATACAATATATTGCTATTAACTATAGTCATCACGTTGTACAACAGATCTCTTGAACTTATTCCTCCTATCTTTTACACTTTGGCTAGGATCTCTCAAAACCTCCCACCCCACCCCTGGTAACAACCACTGTACTCTCTACTTTTATGAGATTTACCTTTTTAGCTCCCACAATGAATGAGAACACGCAATATCTGTTCTGATTTCACTTAACGTAATGACCTCCAGGTTTATCCATGGTATCACAAATGAGAAAAAATTTTCTTTTTAAAGGCTGGATAGTATTCCATTTGCACATATACCAGTTTCTTTATCCATCCATCTGTTGATGGATACTTAGTCTGATTATGTATCCTGACTCTTGTGAATAAACTACAAATGCTACAATAAACATGGGAGTGCAGATATATCTTCCACACACTGATTTTATTTTCTTTGGATATATTCCAAGTAGTGGGATTGCTGGATCATACGACAATTGTATTAAATTTTCTGAGGGACCTTTATACTGTTTTCTATAATGGCTGTACTAATTTACATTCCCCAAAGTGTGCAGTTTCCCTTTTCTCCACATCCTCACCAACATGTTATCTTTTGTCTTTTTGATAGTCTCATCCAGATTCCCGATATACTGGCTAACTCAACATTTCTGGCCCCTGTGTTCAGATTGGCTGAGTCAGACAGTTAGATGAGATCTAAATTCCTGACTAAATACTAGATTTTTATGATTTTATAATTCAGATACCAAGTCATAAATCATAACTCGAGTATCTGCATTCTTATTCTGTGGTACATAAGTAGTACTCTTTTTAGTTGATAAATACAACCAAACCCAATCCCACAAACTGCGAACACTTCATATTTATACACATTTATATATATAACATACACATATGTATAGTATGAATTAAAAATATTCTTACTTGTCTAGATTTTCTAGGAGTGACTGGCACAAAATTGTCAAATATCCAGCTTCCACTGCATTATGAGACACATCTAAAACAAACAAGTAAACTGCAGGTTGAGGAGGACGCAGCTGAAAGGAATAAAAATAAAGTAAGTTATTTGGTAGGTACAATTTATTCTTTTTATATATTACTATTGCTACTGGATATTTACTGAATATATTAACACAAAAAATACACAAATAGGATTGCTATTTTGTAATATGTGCTCATGAAAATGATATGCTTTTAATTTTTTTTCTTTTTAGTTGGTTGTGGACTAAGCATGATAAGGCAGTTGATACACAGCCACAGTTAAATAGATGGGTTAAATGTTTTTCTGATAAGGAGTGTTGGCTAAGAGTTCATTTTTTAAAAATTAGGCTTATGATTTAATACTAAGCTCTCTAGATGTACATCCCTTCCCCTTTCCTAAAAACAAATTTTAAACCCAACAATTTGCCATTAGTACCAGCTATTGGTTTACCTGGAGGTGACTGAATCCTAATGTTTAAGTGCTATGTGTAAAGAAAGTCCTTGTGATGGTATTATAAATACTTTTCTTTTTTTTGGAGACAGAGTCTCACTCTGTCATCCAGGCTGGAGTGCAGTGGTGCAGTCTTGGCTCACTGCAATCTCTGCCTCCCAGGTTCAAGCGATTCTCCTGCCTCAGCCTCCTGAGTAGCTGGGACTACAGGCACATGCCTCCACGCAGAGCTAATTTTTGTATTTGGTAGAGATGGGGGTGGGGGGGGGTTCACTATGTTGGCCAGGCTGGTTATGAACTCCTGATGTCACTTGATCCGCCCGCCTCAGCCTCCCAAAGTGCTAGGATTACTGGTGTGAGCCACTGTGCCTGGCCTTTAAATACATTCTTTGAAAAGTCCTTATGGTTGATAATTGTTGAAGCTTGGTGATGGGTAAAGGATGGCTCATTATACTGTTTTCTTTGGAGTACGTGTGAAAACTGCTGTTATATAAAGTTGAAATAGGCCAGGTGCAGTGGCTCATGCCTGTAATCCCAGCACTTTTGGGAAGCCAAGGTAGGTGGATTGCTCGGGCCCAGGAGTTTGAGACCAGTCTGAGCAACATGGTAAAACCTTGTCTCTAGCTTGGGTGACAGAGTGAAACTCTGTCTCAAGTAAAAATTAAGTACATAAATAAGTAAAGTTAAAATAAAAGAATATATTAAATCTTTTCTTAAAAATATGCTAACTGGAGCCAGGAGCAGTAGCTCACGCCTGTAATCTCAGCACTTTGGGAGGCTGAGGCCGGTGGATTACGAGGTCAGGAGATCAAGACCATTCTGGCTAACATGGTGAAACCCCGTCTCTACTTAAAAATACAAAAAATTAGCCGGGCGTGGTGGCGGGAGCCTGTAGTCCTAGCTACTCGGAAGGCTGAGGCAGGAGAATGTCGTGAACCCGGGAGGCAGAGCTTGCAGTGAGCCGGGATGGTGCCACTGCACTCCAGCCTGGATGACAGAGCGTGACTCCATCTCAAAAATAAATAAATAAATAAATAAAAATGTGCTAACCAAGGGCCATATGAATCATATGGCAAAACTTAAAAGATTATTTCTTGCTTTACCACTTCAATTAGATTAAGATTCCTAAGGACCCAATATGGAGTGGGAAAATAATAAATCATAAAGAAGGTAGGGCTTGAGAGTAAAAGTGATCAAGATAAAGTTTATTACAGTTAATACAGAAACAAACATGAAAATGGTAGTTAGGTGGGCATATGCCAAATTAGACACAAAAGAACACAAAAATTACAAAAATAAAGATGAGCCAGGCGCCAAAAATTTAATGCACATCGCTTACTCCTTTTCACTAGCAGCAGTTTAAGTTTTGCGGACAACAAGGATTAGAGTTGTAGCTACAGAAGATATAGTTTTTTGAGTTTGTTTGTTTGTTTTTGAGACGGAGTCTTCCCCTGTTGCCCAGGCTGGTGTGCCATGGCACAATCTTGGCTCACTGCAACCTCCCCCTCCCACGTTCAAGCAATTCTCGGCCTCAGCCTCCCTAGCAGCTGGGATTACAGGCGTGCACCACCACGCCCAGCTAATTTTTGTATTTTAAGTAGAGACAGGGTTTCACCATGTTGGCCAGGCTGGTCTTAAATTCTTGACCTCAGGTGATCCACCCACCTCAGCCTCCGCAAGTGCTGGGATTACAGACGTGAGCCACCACACCCAGCCAATACAGTTTTTATAAATATGTTAAAAAGAGAAGATATGATAACGAAGATGAGCAAACCTTAGGGCCAGTAATTCGTTTTTGAAGTGAAAAGAAGAATGAGATCTTACAGTTCATATAATTAAAGAAGAGACAGAATTTTCTAATTGCAACAGAAGAAAAAATTAGAAGTCCATATCCACTTATCTTGGTATCTTGGTGAAAAAACTTAAGTTTTGGGCAAAAATGTGCATTTCTCTGTTTTGAGAGTCTTAAATGTTAAATGGTAAAAGGGTATCTATATCCATTCCATGCAAGGAAATCAAAATGGCAACAAGTCATAGATGCTAGTGCCCATCATAAGACAGAACTAACATTTCTTATTCATAGAAAGCCTTCTAGGAGATCGAATAACCTTTAGAAAGATTTTCTCTTTGTTAAATATAAACTTCCAGCATTAATTTGTTTTTAAAAATTATGAGTATAAACAACTTCAAAATCTCGATAAGAGTTCACTTAACAGAAAATTACAAATGACCAATGTAATTGTGTTCCATAACAAATCTTAACACTGAATAGTTACCATGTAATCTGAAGAAGCAATGAACTCCACAGTTGAATTCTGAACTTCTGGTCGTTTATGAGGCTCTCCATAAGATCGGGTAAGGGGGTTATACATAAATTCTTCAGGAACTAGATAAGAGGTCCCAGTACAAATTTAGAGACACAATTTGTAACTAAACACATATATACACACCTAAAAATAAATATCTATTATCAATATTTACACGAGGTTTAGCAACAGTTCTGCGAACATTTAATGGTAAAAATCAATCCCTTAAGCCCTCCTTAAAAAATAGATCAGGGCGGTGGCTCACGCCTGCAATCCCAGCACTTTGGGCGGCCGCGGCGGGCGGATCACGAGGTCAGGAGTTTGAGAACAGCCTGACCAACATGGTGAAACCTCGTCTCTACTAAAAAAACAAAAATTAGCCAGGCATAGTGGTGTGCGCCTGTAATCCCAGCTACTCAGGAGGCTGAGGCAGGAGAATTGCTTGAACCTGGGAGGCAGAGGTTGCAGTGAGCTGAGATTACACCACTGCACTCCAGCCTAGGCGACAGAGTGAGACTCTGTCTCCGAAAAAAAAAAAAAATAATAATCAGGGGGCCAGGCGCAGTGGCTCACACCTATAATCCCAGCATTTTGGGAGGCTGAGGCGGGGAAGATCACGAGGTCAGGAGTTCGAGACCAGCCTGGCCAATATGGTAAAACCCCATCTCTACTAAAAATACAAAAATTAGCCAGACATGGTGGCAGACACCTGTAGTCCCAGCTACTCGGGAGGCTGAGGCAGAAGAATTGCTTGAACCCGGGAGGTGGAGGTTGCAGTGAGCTGAGATCGCACCACTGCACTCCAACCTGGGTGACAGAGTGAGACTCCATCTCCAAAAAAAAAAAAAAAAAAAAGATCAGGCTTAGGTGCAGTGGCTCATGTCTGTAATCCCAGCTCTTGGGTTGGGAGGCTGAGGTGGATGGATCATTTGAGCCCAGGAGTTCAGGATTAGCCTGGCCAACATAGCGAGACCCCATTTCTACCAAAAATACAAAAATTAGCCAGGTGTGGTGGTGCAAGCCTGTAGTCTCAGCTACTTGGGAGGCTGAGGCATGAGAAAAACTTATAGCTTGAACCTGGAAAGCAGAGATTGCAGTGAGCCATATTGTGCAACTGCACTCCAGCCTGGGTGACAGAGCGAGACCCTGTCTCAAAAAAAAAATTAAAAAAAAAAAATAGATCAGAAGGATAAAAAAACTTATGTTCTGAAATCAGGTGAGAAAACCAGGATGCAAGTAACCTTCCTTCTTAGACTTGTATCCTATTTATTATATCAAATGACATGGAAAAAAATCAGACAGAGAAACATAAATTTGAAAGCAACTCTAGTAGGGGAACCCGAAGAAATGAATAAAGGGAACAAGAGACAGACATATATACATGCATGCATCCAGATACACTGGCAAAGTTCTACCTGAGTTGAATGAACCAAATATACAAATGTAAGACAATCTTACTGTCAGGGACAAGCATAACTAGTCTGCATAAGCTCACCTGCATGAGTGTCACTGTTTCTATTTTTCTTACTTTGTCCTCACTGTTACTCTCCTCATTGTCAATTATCCCCTTGGTCAGCCAAAATGAAGAATCCCTAGTCCTAGCCTTAGCCTATATTCCCTCTACTAAAAATGGCATGAAAATTCTTTTTAAAGCAATGAAGAGAGAAACCAGGAGATGACAAAAATCTCAAAAAAAAAAACCTGAAAATAGGATTAAAACACAATTAAGAATCTAAAACTCACCATCGTTTACTCTATAGCACAAATTGCATTTCCATCTACGTTGATCAATGAAGGATACAAAGGGGTTAATATACGTTCGACAGGATCGGCACCTCACAATGGTATTTGATGTTATCACTGGTAATTGCTAGGAAATAAAATAAAGAAGCTGTAGCAGAAAAAGGCACCCCAAGGAAAAACAGAACGTACACAGATCTGCTCCAAATACAGAACATAAACCTTAATTGTTTTTATGTGGTTTTATATGGAAGCATATTAATAAAATCCAGGGACATGTTGAGCAACACATGTAGCCATCAAGTTTTCTCCCTCTTGTCACAAATCATAACACTAAAATAAAGTCATAACAAACATTGGCCAAGAAAATAATGTAAGTGAGATCTTATCAGTTTAACTTTAGAAATAACAGTGAGAGAGAAACATACCATATACAAATACCTTTGTCTTTGTTGACTGCACGTGGTACTAGACTATTAGGCACTGCTCATTAGACTGCCACAGCAACTTCTGACAGGAGCTGAGGCCAGAAGCAGTCAAACACAACGTGCCTTTAAAAAAAATTACATCTCTATGCTTAGTTTGGGAAATGAATTTTATATTCAAGTAGAAACTTTAGAAAATATGAAAAAAGATTAAGAGATCACATATTATTCTATGTCTCTGAATTAACCTGCTATCATTTTAGTATATCATTCTGTTTTTTTCTATCTGCACATGAACATTTTGATCTTTGTATTTAATTTTTTCACATATATGATTATTATTATGCAAGTAACCACATATCTGTTGTAAAAAAAAATCAGGAAATATAGTTAACTGAGAATGAGAAAATAAAAAATTACAGAACTCTATATCACAGAAGATGTCACTGTAAACAATTTAGTATACATGCTTCCAGAAGGTATCATGTATATCTGTATTTAGAGAAAAACTCTCTCATATATATACATATATATAGTATACAATTTCATATATATATGAAATTAACTGTCTTGGTTTATAGATAAGGTTTTCAGAGTATTATAGGTGATTAAAAATATTTACCCAATGAATAAATTCACGGTACTTATCACATATTACAATTTTTTATTTTCTATTCATTTTGATCTTTTCTATACTTCCTGGTAGTAAAGTAAGCTTCACAAGGAAGCTTTTAATTTACCCTTTGTATCTCCAGCTTCCAACGTGACAGGTAGTCAATCAATATTTTTTGGATGAATGACAGCAAAAGAAAACTCAGAACCAGTAAGAAGGGTAGTAAACAACAGTAGTAAAAAAAAGTTTGAGACAGAAATGCAACTTATGAAGTACAAATAAAACAGCCCTGAATAAAATTATTTTTGAAGTTTTCAAAATTTAAAACTTTTAAAACTTTACAAGTTTAAAAATCCCTACTGTTACAAAGGTTATTTGTTGAATTAACAAATTTGTTTAATTTGTTAAGGAACAGGCAGTTTTCCTCTCTAAGTGGACATCACTGTTGGTGTTTCCTTTGTGTTTAATAAAGAACTCCGAAAGTGTATCTACCTTCCAGGGCCATTCCACCTTCCAAAACTACTAATCTTTCAAAATCCAGGACAGACTTCAACACTTATAGAAAACTTTTGCTATTGTATCCACAGGGAATCACTTCTCATACTGTACTCACTACCTAAGTATCTCATAGAATTTGATTAATTACATGTATTAATTATCCTGCACTGTAATTATTTTTACATCTTTGTTCCCTGTTAGATAAGAACTTTTTGGAGGCAACTTCAATGACTTGATCATCTCTGTACTACCAGTGCTTAGTTTAGAGCTTGTCACAAAGCAGGTGTTCAAAAAATGTTTGCCAAGTTGTTATGGAAATGATTATTTCTAACTTCAAATAAAAGAAGATATAGAAAATTCTAAGAAAATATAAAATTTAAGTACCTTGTACATAAGCATACATGTCAGTACCCATAAATATTATAAAATGTTACTTTACCGTTAGGTCTCTGAAGGGATGTAACAACAATCCTAAAGGAAGCTTAGCTTTATTCAGTAAAGCCTGTGTCTGTGGAATATTTGTCAAAGTACACCGAAATGAACTGCAAAAAACATAAACAACATGGAGGATATTAGCTATCAGAGAAAAATACACTGAAGTAGATAAGATAACTAAGAACATTTAAGGACATAAGTGAAAATCATTTGGGCATGTTACTGTAACTGTAAGCAAGAAGGTCCTGATTAATTAGGCATGTATGCAATATATGTCAAAAAATCTAAATTAAAGAGTCAACACTTTCATGGTGGAAAAATAGTACACATTCAGGGAAGACCAACTACTCCATTATGACTAGCCTGAAGGAGATGAATAGGAGCACACAGAAAACATAAGTGAAAAGGCCTACTTTTTTTTTTTTTTTTTTTTTTTTCTGAGATGGAGTCTTGCTCTGTCGCCCAGGCTGGAGTGCAGCAGCCCGATCTCGGCTCACTGCAAGCTCCGCCTCCTGGGTTCACGCCATTCTCCTGCCTCAGCCTCCTGAGTAGCTGGGACTACAGGCGCTTGCCACCATGCCCAGCTAATTTTTTGTATTTTTAGTAGAGACGGGGTTTCACCATGTTAGCCAGGATGGTCTCGATCTCCTGACCTTGTGATCCATCCGCCTGCCTCGGCCTTCCAAAGTGCTAGGATTACAGGCGTGAGCCACTGTGCCTGGCCAAATAACTTATGAAGTTTTAAAGTCAATAAACAAAGAATGAATAAAGGAGATGCCAAAGCAGTAAAAAGCAGAAGTACTGAAAGCCAGGCAAGAAATTTTATGAAGAGTCGTTAATATCATGTAGAGATATCTATTTATTCCAGCCTTAGTGTTGTTCCTTGAACACAAAAAGCTTGTTCCTGCTTCAGGACCTCCATATTTGCCATTCATGCAGGTTGGAACCCTTTTATTCCCAGAGAAGTCATGTGGCTTACTCTCTCACTTCACCCAGATCTCTACTCAAATGTTAAAAGTCTTTGGGTAAACCTGTCCAGACTCTTCTATTTACAAGAGTCACCCTCCACCTGCACTCCTTATTCTGATTTATTTTTCTTCATTGTAATACCCTAAACATTACATTATATATTTACTAGTTTGACTGTTCATCGGAGAATATAAGTTCTGTGATTCCACAGAGATCAGGAACTGTGTTTTGTTCACAACTTTATCCCCAGTACACGGAAAACAGTGCTTTGCATTTAACTTCCAAGGCATTTGATAAATGTTTATTGAATGATTTATTTTAGTATGCTGATACTATTATTATTCCTGTTTTACAGTTGACAAAACTGAGACTTTGAGAGGTTAAATAAATTGCACAGTTTCACAGCTACTTAGGTCTGCTCAACTCTAAAGCCTGTACTCCTAATTATTTGTTATTTTGATAAAAGAGACATTTTCGCAAAACACACATAACTGGGTAGAAAAATGTATGCCTTCCCCTTACCTATGGGTTCTCTTATACATATGCAACATATTTTTTTTTAATAATTTTTTATTTTTTTGAGACAGGGTCTCACTCTGTCACCCAGGCTGGAGTACAGTGTTATGATCTTGGATCGCCACAACTTCCACCTCCTGGGCTCAAAGGATCCTCCCACCTCAGCCTACAGAGTAGCTGGGACCACAGGCACATGGCACTATGCTCAGCTAATTTTTTTGTTTTTTTGGAGGAGAAGGGGTTTCGCCATGTTGTCCAGGCTGGTCACAAACTCCTGGGCTCAAGCGATCCACCTGCCTTGCCTTCCCAAAGTGCTGGAATTACAGCCGTGAGCTACTATGCATGGCCCATACGCTACATTTACCTACGTAGGGGGTACCTAACCTTTTATACTACAAGGTCATAATTTACAAACTTATCAACCTGGTAGCAACTTATATTTGGAAGGATGGGCAGCTGTTTTCAACCTATAATCCATGACACTCTGTATTTTTACGGAAACAATCTTGGCAGTACCTGAGGCACTGATGGTGTGTGGATGGTACAGTGGAAGAAGAGGGGAAATTCTCAAAGCAGCTCCACTTCTTATTTTCTATATTGGAATTCTATATAATATTTTGGTTGAAGAGTGGTTTGCCGCTTTTTTTTTAAAGCTGGAAAACTACTGCTTTAAGAAAAGGGAAATAGGCTGGGCACAGTGGCTCACGCCTGTAATGCCAGCACTTTGGGAGGACGAGGTGGGCGGATCACCTGAGGTCGGGAGTTCGAGACCAGCCTGACCAACATGCAGAAACCCTGTCTCTACTAAAAATACAAAATTAGCTGGGTGTGGTGGCACATGCCTGTAATCCCAGGTACTCGGGAGGCTAAAGCAGGAGAATCACTTGAACCTGGGAGGCGGAGATTGCGGTGAGCCGAGATGGCGTTATTGCACTCCAGCCTGGGCAACAACAGCGAAACTCCGTCTCAAAAATAAAAAAAAGAAAGAAAAAAAGAAAGAGGAAATATTGGCTCTAAAGAACACTAATTCTCCTAATGCAAGGAAGAAGACAATGTTGGCCAAGCGCGGTGGATCACACCTATAATCCCACCACTTTGGGAGGCCAAGGCGGGCAGGTCACCTGAAGTCAGGAGTTCGAGAACAGTCTGCCCAACATGGTGAAACCCCATCTCTAATAAAAATACAAAAATTAGACACGCATCATGGTGCACACCCGTAATCTCAGCTACTTGGTGGCTGAGGCACGAGAATCACTTGAACCTGGGAGGCGGAGGTTGCAGTCAGCTAAGATCGGGCCACTGCACTCCAGCCTGGGTGACAGACTGAGACCCCATCAAAAAAAAAAAAAAAAGGAAGACAATGTTGTTCTGTGAATCAGTGTTTACTTTATGAGGAGGAGAAATTCCAGATGCAGGAGGATGTCTTCCAAAAAAAGAAAAAAACTAGGACCAGGGGGATATCCTATTCATAGGATACAGAACTAAAAGCATGCAAGAACAAAGACATGAGGCACTGTGAAGTGAGTAACAGAGCTCATTCACACAAAGGTACACCAGGGCTTGGTGGTTGCCAGTGCAGTCTGCCAGCTAAACTTCTCTATTAAAGGAAATCCAGTCTAGATTCAGACTGGATTAAGCCTGGGAGTCAAAGGTCTTCATACTCTATATTGAGTGGGAAAAGAAAATTCTGAGATAAACCATTTATCTAAACCTGTTCTTGAGATTACATAAGTGAGGTCTATGTTCTTTTCAAGCAAAGCCTGAAATTTCAAATATCTGTCCTTATTGAAAAGATATCAGAAGTTATTATTATTGAAAAGTGAGGAAAAAGATTTAAGAAATAAAAAATATAGTTATATTTGGGTTCCTGAAACCCTTCATTCAAATAGAAATAATTTCCCTAACATTAGGTGATGGGGGGAAGGGACTGGATTGAGACAGAGATGGGAACAAAAAGAGATGACCTAAGTCAAATTTTACATCTATACAAACTAAAAGAGAAAAGTCAACATTAATGAAACTTCCAACCGAAGAAATAACATACTACTTTTACTATTTTTGAAAGTCATACAATGTTTTCATCACTTAAGAAAGATTATAAAATAAATAAATACCTACTCTGGGCTACAGTTTAATTTTTTGAGGTCTGCATTCAAGTTAGGTACAGGAGCCCAAACAGGAGTCATAGGTAAAATATTCCTCTCCTGAGTAAGGTTTACAGGTCTCAGGCTTTCTGGTTGTGGAGAACTCTGAAGACTCAATCCTCCTATACTGGAGGATAGCTGGTTCACACCAGGATACTGCTGAAAGAGCAATTCAAAACAAAATAAAAGAACAATAAAACATAAATAAATTTTCTTATATATACTACATATCTCAACATACAGAAAAAGCAAAAAGGTAAGAAAATTTAAATCTGGCTTGGTATGCAGTCAATCTAAAGCACACTTGAAAAAAACTCAAAGCAAAAGTACTGAATAAATTTGAATCTTATTAGCAAGGTTAACCCTCGCAATGAAATTTCAGCAACAATGCTTTTCAACATGAGCAATTTGGTTTCCCTGAATACAGTTTATACTTGAAAAACACGATAAGTGCCCCACTGTTCTCAAGGTTCCCCTCCCCCAATTACCAACTTTCACAATAATGAGTTGGTACCATAGAAATGTACAATCGTGTTCAATAGGTTTTGCCTTATTTTGTTTCCTATGTTTTTAATATTATCATGAATTAATGGCTTGTTATCTCAAACTGATGTAATGAATTACAGTCATTATTCTTATGATGTTCAAACTACCCAATCTTTAGCCAGTGAAAGCCCTTTCAAGATGGCCCCAGTGTCCTTTTATATGAACCTAACTAGCCTTTGATAGTTTCCTTGCTTTCTTACACACTATTTTATACTCTTTTACTTCAAATCTAGAATTGTTTGTCTAAAAAGGAATCTTGGCTCCTTTTAAGTAGAGATGATATCTAAAAACCATAATCTGGATGATAAAGGTGCTTATTGCTAGTGTGCTGTTATTACTTCCAGATACTTGGCAACAGGTAAAGATGGAAAATACACATGTTAAAGTAGAAGCAAATAATGAGTCCACGTTGACAGTTCCAATACAAATTTAAGATGACGGGGTTTTTACTTAAGTTCTTTGATTTTATACCGGTATCTCTGTTCTCTTTTGCTACAAATCTTTATTTCTAATGGTAACAGCATTATTTTATCCTATAATATACATTTATAACACCACCAATATTATGTCAGATTATTAAATTTTTCATAGTTCTTTTTGTCCTTACGTTATATCCCACTGAGATGTATAAAATACTAGGTTTTAAGATCAGCTTGAACAGTACTTTTCTTGGTATTAGAATGTATCCAACTTGATAAACAGGTTTTTTAATTTTATTTTGTTTTTCATATTTAAGGATCATTTTTAATCTTTTTGGTTTTTGAGTAAACATAACATTTATATAATTCTAATGTCAAAAAACATTACAATAAGGTACTAATACAATAAGGTATTCAGAGATATCTTATTTCACTCTTGACACCTCTGCCTATAGTTAACTATTTTTATTAGCTTATAGTTTAATCCTTCCATTGTTTCTATTTATATAAGCTAAACATATATACTGTTGTAAATATAGCCCCCTTTTCAACTAAAAAAATGTCCTGGCAATAACTCTATGTCTATACCTTCTGCATTTCTTTTTACAGCTACGGAGCACTCCATTATGTTAATGTGCTATAGAATTCCAGCTAATATATGGATAATGATAAATTCAGAAAAATCACTATTTAACAATCCATACTGAAATAAATGATTCAGGTAGTGGTCACTTGTAATGGAAGACCAATAGATATCAACAGATGATAAAGCCACTAGGTGAAAGCTTAATGAGGAACTTCACAATTAAAGGATCAGGCTGTCATTGTATGAGGCACTAATCAAGCCTAGCAGTGGTATAAGTGAAATAAACAGATATTATTTTGAAGTGTACATCACCAAAATACATATTATGGCCTAACTAAATAAATAATTGAAGTAATACACCTAAATATAATCAACCATTAGATCTAACTCCCAATCCATAGAAAATGAAACAGAAATAAGTTAAATGATACCACAAAGAAGCAAACAGCTAAATTCAGAATGAGGGACATTCTACAGAACAACAGACTCAGTTATTTTACCAAAATCAAAGGCATTAAAAAAAGGGAGTGGGGCTTGTTTTAAATTAAAACAAGAATTAACAGGCATAAGCAAATAGAATTAGTAAACTATTATTTGGGTTTTAATGTGAACAAAGTATACAAAGGCATTTTTGAAACAGTCTGGAAAATCTGAATATAGACTGAATTTTAAATGACATTTAGAAATTATTAATTTTGTTGGCTATGATAGTAGTATTGTGGTTATGTAAGAAATGCTGTCCACCTCCCTAATTTTAAAATCCTCAGCAAGAAAAGTGGTGGTGGGATGGTAGGCAGTGTGGACCCATATGAAACAAATATAGCAAAATGTTGACAGTAACTGAAGGTGGTGATGTTAAGGAAAAAAATGACTGGATAATAAAAAGGATTCTCTTTTTTTCTGTAGAGCTGTAAAAAATCAGAAAAATGATCACATGGATTAATAGCAGCATATAACAGAAAACCCCCCAAAAGACCCAAGTTTCTAAGAATTTAGGATATAAAATAAAGGTAGGATATTTAATCAGAGAGAGAAGATACATTATCTAATAAATGATAGTGAACTAAGGGTAAACCATTCTGCAGGTGAAGGGGAGAGAATGAGACTTATTTACATTATGTACCAAAATAAAACCTTAGATGGATTAATGATGCAAAACCAAAATCATCAAAGAACTAAAAAAAACCAGCTAGAATACTTTCCTGATTTTAACGCTGAAAAGACCTTTTAAAGGATACAAACAAAGGTAAAAACAATAAAAGAAATTATAAAATGAGGCCAGGCGCAGTGGCTCAAGCCTGCAATCCCAGCACTTTGGGAGGCCGAAGTGGGCGCGTCACTTAACTTCAGGAGTTCGAGGCCAGTTTGGCCAACATGTTGAAACCCTATCTCTACTAAAAATACAAAAATTAGGCGGGGCACAGTGGCTCATGCCTGTAATCCCAGCACTTTGGAAGGCCGAGGTGGGTGGATCATGAGGTCAGGAGTTCAAGACCAGCCTGGCCAACATGGTGAAACCCCATCTCTACTAAAAATTGAAAAATTAGCTGGGTGTGGTGTGGCGGGCGCCTGTAATCCCAGCTACTCGGGAGGCTGAGGCAGGAGAATCGCTTGAAACCGGAAGGCAGAGGTTGCAGTGAGCCGAGATCGAGCCATTGCACTCCAGCCAGGCAACAAGAGTGAAACTCTAACTCAAAAAAAAAAAAAAATTAGCCAGGCGTAGTGGCACATGCCTGTAGTCCCAGCTACTCGGGAGTCTGAGGCAGGAGAATCGCTTGAATCTGGGAGGCAGAGGTTGCAGTGAGCCAAGATCGCACCACTGCAGTTCAGCCTGGGCTAAAGAGCAAGACTCCGTCTCAAAAAAAAAAAAAAAGAAAGAAAGAAATTACAAAATAACTACATAAAATTTAAGTATTTCTCCAAGGTAAAAAATAAAAACACACTAAAATTAAAAACCAATGTCAACATGGCAGAAAATTACAATACACAAACACAAAAGGTTTACACTTATTGCAGACACACACAACAATGGTGAAAAAATATAAACAGGGATTTCAGTAAAGAAATACATATGACCAATAATTATAAAAAAATTTTTTGCTTATACAAAATAATTACTGGGGTACTTCACAATATAGAGAAAGGGGCAATTAAATACATTCTTGCTTGAAGTATACATTGGTACATTATTTCTCCATACTTGACCAACAACCACTGATCAAATACTGTTTGACATCTCCATTAGGTATTTTAATTTAACATGGCCAACTCAATTCCCATTCCTAGACCTTTGTCTTCATTATCTTAGTAAATACGCTAACCTCTACCCAGGTGTTATGCCAAAAACCTAGGAGTTACTCTTGACACCTTCCTTTCTCTCACCCACCACATCCAATCCACTGGCATATAAAAAGTTATCTCTTATCTATTCACTTTTTACAACCTCCATGATACTACCTTAGCACAAAGAACAACCATCAATTTCCGAATTAGGGCAGAACTTCAATTTGTCTCTCTGTTTCCATTTTGTCTTTTCAAATACTCCTATCTCTAATCCATTCCTCACACAGCAGCCAAATGATTTTCTAAATATGTAAATTAGATGTCATCCTATTACATAAAATCTCTGATACCTCTCTTATGCACCTCGGATAAAATCTAAGCTTCTGACTGTGGTCCTTTAGCTCTTCGATCTCATCCCTATTACTCTTCCCATGGCTGAATTCCCACAACACTGGGACTTTATTCCTCAAACATGTCAAACTTGTTCCTGCCTTAAGTCTTTGCATATCAGTTTACTCAGCCTGAAATGCTTTAACCACAGATCCTTCCATGCTTTTTCTTTCTTCCATATGTTAACTCAAACCTAACTTCTACAATGAAGGCTGCTTATCTGACCACCTACTCCACATTTTCACCCCAGAAACTACTTCAACTTGTCTTACTTCATAGCACTTGTAACTACCTGAAATTAATTCTTTATTTGTTTACTTATTTATTGTCTTATTAATCCTGACCTCCCACCAACCTTCTTAAGAGCAGGAACTGTTTGGTTCACTGAGCCTCCTCTCGTATTCTCAGTGCCTAGAATAGTACTGCCACAGAGTAGGAATAAACTTCTATTGAGTAGAGAGAAATTCTAAAGTCTTAAAGAATTAAATGCTGGCCGGATGCAGTGGCTTGCGCCTGTAATCCCAGCACTTTGGGAGGCCGAAGCAGGTAGATCATCTGAGGTGAGGAATTTGAGACCAGCCTGGCCAACATGGTAAAGCCCCATCTCTATTAAAAACACAAAAATTAAGGTGGACATGGTGGCACACGCCTATAATCCCAGTTACTCGGGAGGCTGAGGCAAGAGAATTGCTTGAACCTGGAAGGCAGAGGTTGCAGTGAGCCGCGATCCTGCCATTGCATTCCAGCTTGGGACACAGAGTGAGACTTCATCTCACAAAAAAAGAAAAAAACAATTAAATGTTTTGATTCTGTAATTCCACTTAAGGAAATAGTTAAGGCAAATGCACAAATTGTGTGTGTAGTCACGTCGCTTAATGATGAGGACATGTTCTGAGAAATGTGTCGTTAGGTGATTTTGTCCTTGTGCAAACATCACAGAGTGTACTCACAAACCTAGATGGTATAGCCTACTACACACCTGGGCTATATGATATAGCCTATTGCTCCTAGGCTACAAACCTGTACAGCACTGTTACTGTGTTGAATATTGTAGGCAACTGCACACAATGATATTTGTATATCTAAACATAGAAAAACTACAAGAACAATATAGTATAAAAGATACAAAATGGTACACTTGCATAGGACACCTAGTATGAATGGAGCTTACAGGACTCAAAGTTGCTCTGGGTGAGTCAGTGAGTGAGTGGTGAGTGAAGGTGAAAGCCCAGGACACTACTGTACTGTAGGCTTTATAAACACACACATTTAGGCTTTATCAAACCTATAAAAATATAGTTTTTGGCCAGGCATGGTGGCTCACATCTGTAATCCCAGCACTTTGGGAGACCTAGGCGGGTGGATCACCTGAGGTCCAGAGTTTGAGACCAGCCTGAATAACATGGTGAAACCCCATCTCTACTAAAAATACAGAAATTAGCCGGGCGTGGTACTGGCAGGCGCCTGTAATCCTCCAGCTACTTGGGAGGCTGAGGCAAGAGAATTGCTTGAGCCCGGGAGGTGGAGGTTGCAGTGAGAGCCAAGATTGTGCCACTGCACTCTAGCCTGGGTGACAGAAGGAGACTCCGGAGGAAAAATAATTTTTCTTTCTTCTGTAATACATTAGTTTACATAACTTCTTTACCTTATAAACTATTTATTTTAATAGGTTGGTGCAAATGTAACTGTGGGTTTTGTCTTTTTTTTTTTTTTTTTTTAAGATGGAGTCTTGCTCTTGTTGCCCAGGCTGGTGTGCACTGCTGCAATTTTGGCTCACTGCAACCTCTGCCTCCTGGGTTCAAGCAATTCTCCTGCTTCAGCCTCCCTAGTAGCTGGGGTTACAGGCACTCGCCACAATGCCCAGGTAATTTTTGTATTTTTAGTAGAGACAGGGTTTCACCATGTTGGCCAGGCTGGTCTCAAACTCCTGACCTCAGGTGATCCACCCACCTCAGCCTCCCAAAGTGCTGGGATTACAGGTGTGAGCCAATGCGCCTGGCCTGTCACTACTTTCAATGGCAAGAACCGCAATGACTTTTGCACCAATCTAAATAACTTTTTGACTTTTGCAAAAACAGTGTAAAACACCCATTGTACAGCTGTACAAAAAATGTTCTTCCTTTTACAGCCTTATTCCGTAACTTTTTTCTATTTTAAATTTTTTTCCTTTTAAACTTTTTTGTTGAAAATGAATACACAAACACACACATTTGCTTAGTCCTACACAGGATCAGGATCAATATCACTGTCTTCCATCTCCACATCTTGTCTCACTGGAAGGTCTTAAGGTGTAATAACATGTAAGGAGCTGTCATCTCCTGTGATAACAATGCCTTCTTCTGGATTCTTCCTGGAGGACCTGTGTGAGGCTGCTTTACAGTTAACTTTTGTTTTTTATAAATAGAAGGAGTACACTCTAAAATAAAGATAAAAAGTTTAGTATGAGTAAATACATAAACCAGTAGTCATTTATTTTCATTATCAAGTATTATGTACTGTGCATAACTGTATGTGTTATACTTTTATATGACTCGAAGTGCAGGTTTGTTTGATGCAGAGCATCACCACAAACACATGAGTAATGCACTGTGCTATGACATTAGCACAGCTACAAAGTCAATAGTTGACAGGAATGTTTCAGCTCCATTATAATCTTATGGGACCACCATCACATATGTGGTCCATCATTGACTAAAATGTCATTATGCAGCACATGACTGTATGCATGTGCGTTTATGTATGATAAAGTATGTGTGTGTATATACACACACAAGGATTTTTTTTTTCTTTTGTCACAGGTTCTTGCTATATTGCCCAAGTTGGTCTCAAACTCCTCAGCTCAAGTGATTCTCCTGTCTTAACTGGGATCACAGAAGCACACCAAGCTTAAAATGATGTTGATTTTGAAACTGAGTTATGCCCCGCAAATGGGAGACTCATTATAAAACATACAAGTCCCAAAATGATGAAAGATATAATAAGAAAGGTTTCTTCTTATACTGTTAAACAAATTTAAACATTTTCCAAAGTGATATTTGTATTTTTCAACTTCTTTTGTTTGTTTAAACAAGTCATCTAGACAACCAGCTTCTTGCCTGGCTTCCCTAGCAAGGTGTAGTGAAAGAAACCTGGAAGGACAGACTCCAAGCATTGCTGTTTACAACCTGGTAGAAATACTGGTTAATATTTATTAGTATTTTCCCTTTTGTTTATCTGCATTTTCTCTAATTGATCTCACTAAATTTGTAATTTTTAAAAGCTATATAGTATCTATATCTGGTTTTTCATATATTCACTGAAAATATTTTTCTAATTTTTATTTTTGTTTTTAAACATCAGCCTTTTCCCTGTTTTTCCACCCTAAAAAACAAATTTTAAGGTGTTTTTTTTTCCTGTCAAAAACCAACTGTTAGGGTTTCCCACTACTTAATAAGTCATCTCAAATTAATCAATACAAAGAAAAGCCCTTACACAGAGCTCTTTCATTGCACTACATTAGGTACAACATTTAAAGGCATTTCAACTTTATTATGACTGTTAAGACTGTTTAAAGCTAAGCTAAGATATTATTACCCTACCTGGAACTTCAAAAATAAATGAGCCAGGCGTGGTGGGTCACACCTGTGATCCCAGCACTTTGGGAGGCCAAGGCGGGCAGATAACGAGGTCAGGAGATCCAGACCATCCTGGCTAACACAGTGAAACCCTGTCTCTACTAAAAATACAAAAAATTAGCTGGGCATGGTGGCACACGCCTGTAGTGCCAGCTACTTGAGAGGCTGAGGCAGGAGAATCGCTTGAATCTGGAAGGTGGAGGAGGCAGTGAGCCGCGAGCCGAGATTGCGCCAATGAACTCCAGCCTGGGCGACAGAGCAAGACTCCGTCTCAAAATAAAAAAAGGCTTCTTTTAAAAAAGTTTGATAATTTTAATCTTCGATGAAAATTTATAATCTTTTTTTAGTAGACAGGTAAGAATTTAAATGTAGGTCCTAGCTGTATACCTAAATCATTACTGTTCACTGACCCTAAAACAGTAGTGTTCAAAAAATGATTTCAAATTCAGATCAGACAAAAATAGCTGCTTGTAATCTTCCTTGGAAAGATCCATCTATCAAGTCTGAGTATGATTTTTTACTGTACAAATCCTTACCAGTTAAAGAGAAAAAAAGTGCTTAATTCTGTACTGCAAGGTCTTTTGCATTCTTAGAACCAAGCCTGGTACTGGACAGGTGATTTCACTTATTTGAGTTTCTATTTCCTCACAAAATGAAAGGAAGGTGACTATTTACAATTTAGAAAGTCAAAATTCCAAGTGTTGACAAGAATGTGAAGCAACTGAACTCTCACACACTGCTAATGAGGTAGAAATCAGAATATCACTGTGGCAAACTGTCTAGCTTTAACTGCTAAAGTTGAAAAATGAATATCCAGTGGCCCAGCAATTCCATTCCTAGATATATACACTCACTAAAAGACAGGGACAGAAATGTTCACAATAGCATCATTCATAATGGCCCCACACTGGAAAGTTACCCCAATGCCCATCAACAATAGAACAAATAAACAAACTGGTCTATTCACATGATTGAGTACCACATAACAATGAAAATGAATGAATTACAATCACACAATAAGCATAATGTTGAGCAAAAGATTCTAGACACAAGTACATATGGTATGCTTCCAATTATGTAAAAAAAAAAAAAAGAAAGGTGGGAATGGTTGCTTTCTAATAGTCTACTTCTAAATATTTTGGCTTTATGATGCTCACTTAAGTGTGATTAATAACCCAGGTTACTTTTTAGTATATCTTTGTCCCCTTTATCCAAACTTTCCTAACACTTGTACTAGACCCAGAATATAAAAAGGATTGTGATTACAGAATAAAATGATGTTGTATTTTTTAATTCTGGTAGAATATTTATTTTTACTCTTATCCCAAAGGTAATTTTTTGACTTTTCTAAAATAACCTCCCAAATAAAATACGAAATGAAAAATACTTCCTACACTCCTTTGTCACGGGTCAGCAAACTTTTTCTGTGGATAGTCAGAAGGTCATTATTTTAAAGCTTTGAGAGCCACATGATCTCTTTTGCAACTACTCAACTGTACTACTGTAGTGCAAAAGCAGCCATAGACAATAACATAGAAGAATGGGCATGGCTGTATTGCAATAAAACTTTATTTACAAACAGGCAGTGGGCCCGATTTGGCCAGAGGGCCATGGTTTGCAGACTATTGTCCTAAGTTATTATGTAAGACCATTTACTATTTCAAAATAATTTTTTTTTCTCCTTGCTCAACACTCCCAAGAATCAATCCTTTCTTTGAACCTGGTTTTCTCATCATAAAAATTCTAAGTAAATAATATGTTACAACCCCAAATAGGAATTTGCCTAAAAGCACAAGAGTCAAACAGGACAGACTTAAAAATTGTTTCACATGAAACAACAGAGCCATAAAGAAAATCTAGCAAAATGGGAGGCAGAGAAATCTGTACTAACCAACCATATTCCTCTGATGTCTCTCAGTTTTCTTCCTTTTTCCTCTGTACTTTAGTTCTAAGGTTAAATTCCAGAAACAAATAATTTTCCTTTTTCTTTTGCCCCACCCCTGCTCAAGATGGGCTCTTGGTATGTCACCCAGGCAAGATTCAAACTCCTGAGCTCAAGCAATCCTTCTACTTTAGTCTTGAGTAGCTAGAACTACATGAGTAAGCCACTACTCCTCACTGATTATCCTATTTCTCATTTTCATTCTTACTTCACCATAAAATTTCTATAAGGTTAGTCAACTGAGAACAGTTTTCTGTAAGTAGCAATACTCTTGTCATTAAAATTGTTTCCTGGCCAGGAGCAGTGGCTCACACCTGTAATCCCAGCACACTTTGGGAGGCCGAGGCAGGCGGATCACTTGAGGTCAGGAGTTCAAGACCAGCCTGGCCAAAATGGTGACACCCCATCTCTACTAAAAATACAAAAATTAGCCGGGCATGGTGGTGGGCACCTGTAATCACAGCTACTCGGAAGGCTGAGGCAGGAGAATCGCTTGAACCCAGTAGGCGGAGGTTGCAGTGAGCTGAGATAGCGCCACTGCACTCCAGCCTAGGCAGTAGAGTGAGATGCCATCTCAAAAAAAAAAAAAATTGTTTCCCTGTATTTTATTTTCTTTCAATAAATATAGATGTGAATGTAATACTGTCCTGTTAAGTATTTAACTGTATAAATATCATATCAGTTGTTAAACTGCTAAGTTTATGAGGTGGCTCCAGAAAAGGTCATGTCAGAATGGGTCCTAGCAGCAGTGATATAGGAGTTAAAAAGAAATCACTTAGGCAGATAGTGAGGGTATGGGAATCCTCAGTAAGGCTTTTCTTTTTAATGAAAAGCAGCCCCAAACCATTCTCTAACGAAGAGCAGCCTGTAAAGTCGCGCTGCAGACACAGACAAGCAAGCTGGGAGCCTGCAAGAGTGAATGCTGGCAGGAACTAGGGGCTAGACATGTTCAAGATGGCAGCTCCATCATCCCTTATCTGCCAGTCACACGAGCAGACAAGATGGTGCTGGCCAAAGATAATTCATTTGCATAATAAGATTAGGGTAGGGCAACCAGCCTTTCCCCCAAGGCCTCATGTAAATGTCACAACTAATCGAACCGATCTGCGAGCCCTAGGTAAATAAGACATTGCCTCCTCAAGATGGACTATAAAATTTGGTGCATCCACCTCCAGCCAGTGTTTTCCACTCAGAGGCCCTTCTCTATGGAGAAAGCTGTTTCTCCTTCTCCTCTCTTCTGCCTATTAAACTTCCACCCATAAACTCCACGTGTGTGTCTGCATCCTAAATTTTCCTGGCTGCAAGATGACGAACCACCGGTTTAGACCCCAGACAATGTAGCCACTTCAGCGGTAAATGAGCATGTGAGCCTATGAGCATATTTATGTGTGTGGAGGCTCTCATCAAGGTGAGTTATGTGTCATAAAGTTCTTCAAATGCAGGGTAGGGACCAAATCACATTTTACCTGTCATTTTCTAAGGAGAATGCCAGCTTGATAATATAAAATTTTTTTAAAAACTTAACATTTACTTAAATTTTCTGATTATAAAATTAATACTTGCAATTGTAGACTCTGAAAAATAAAGATATCATGAAGAAAAATAAAATCATATCTAATATCTTGATCTAGATTTAACCTCTTTAAAAATGTGATATTTATATTTCATTTAATCTTTTTCTACATATATACACACAAAAAAGCTGAGATCAAATTCTATGTATGTTTGATCTAGGCTGACATGTATTTGTACCTAAGTTCCACTTGGATCACAGGTACAAATCCCACCAGTAACTTGTCAGAATTAAGTTTTATAACTGTTACAATGTGTGTATATGACTGAATACATACTTGAGGATACTGCTGGAATCCAGAATATACCGGGTTACTGGGCTGTACTCCAGAAATAAGTGGTGCTGTAGCATTCTGATAACCAGGCTGAAGTGTTGGATAGCCATAGCCAAAAGGCTTAGCCATTTTTGAAGGCTGAGGGACGACAGGAGCTGGAGCTGAAGCTGGAGCTGGAGCAGAAGCAGGATCAGGTTCAGGGGCGGGATCAGGAGCAGGACTGCTTGCTGATGAAGAAAGCATATCTAAAAAATGGAAACACATGGTGTTAACAACTGAAAATCAAGACTCCACAAAGACTGGACTCCTGATCCAGTCCATAACCCCTGACATTTCCTTTTTACTTTTTAAAGCTTTTTATTCTAAGAAATTTTGGACACACACAAAGTAGGGGGAATGATGAACCCCATATACTTATCACTAAGCTTCAATAATTATCAATATTTTGTTATCTTGTTTTACATGTTGTCATACTACATCTTTTTTTTATTCCTTTTTACAGAAACTCCACCCCATATTTTACATCACTTCACCAACAGATACATTAGTTGGTATTTCTTTTTTTTAAAATAGAGATGGAGTCTCCCATGTTGCCTAGGCTGGTCTTGAACACCTGTGCTCAAGAGATTTTTCTACCTCGGCCTACCAAAGTGCTGAGCATACAGGTGTGAGCCCCTTGAGTTGGTAATTCTAACAGATAAGAATATATTTATATAATACACACAAACGCACACACAAAGTTAATAAAGTTTTAAAAAATTCTCTCAGCAGAGACTAAGCACCACAAAACAAAGCAAGCAATAAAAAGGGTGCCAACTACTCTTTTCTCTAATTTGCTTTATCTAAACCTACCATCTATATAAAAACTAACTATGGAAGGAGTAGCATGTTTCCATAATCCCCTAAAAATATGCATTATTTGCAGTAGCAAAACTGTTAGTCAAGTATGAAAGATAGTGTCTAGAGGCTGGGCGTGGTAGCTCACTCCTGTAATCCCAGCACTTTAGGAGACTGAGGTGGGTGGATCATGAGGTCAGGAGTTTGAGACCAGCCTGGCCAACATGGTAAAACCCCGTCTCTACTAAAAATACAAAAATTAGCTGAGCATGGTGGCAGGCACCTGTAGTCCCAGCTACTCAGGAGGCTGAGGCTGCAGTGAGCCGAGATTGCGCCATTGCACTCCAGCCTGGGCCACAGGGCGAGACTCTGTCTCAAAAAAAAAAAAAAAGGTAGTATCTAGAATAGTGTCCTGCTCCTAGAACAATGTTTAGTATGTAATAAATGTCAAATAAAATGTATTTAATGAATGAATGCCCTTATTTAAATTTAAAACAGAAAGTGGAAAACAAAAAAACTGCAGAAAACTTAAATATCATATACAAAAACAGTAACAACAAAAAGAAACTCTACACATAACCATTATTAACAATTTGGCATATTGACTGTTTAGTCCTATTTTGAAGTCAACTCTACAATGTGCATTCATTTTAGTTCGTAAGATATCCTTCACCAGCATTTGGGATTCTGCAAAAATATATTCTTAGAAACATTTAACTGAATCAATCTATTTTTTTTTTTCTTGAAGAATCACATCTCCTTATTGGGTCTAATTCTGAAGATACACTCCTAGACATTCTGCTATCATCTTGTGCTGATTAGGCAAGGATCAGCTTACTGGCTTTCTGGTAACCTCCCAGACTTCTTAAAAGGATAAGACCTTCAACATGCTGTCATAATCCTTAGATCTCCTGCTTGTCCCTCCTCATGGTGATGGAAACATAGGCAGAAAGTTCTCTTAACATGACAAGTTATCAGCATAAGAAATAAAAAAAAACAATGGCGCTGGGTGCAAAGGCTCAAGCCTATTATCCCAACACTTTGGAAGGCCAAGGTGGAAGGACTGTTTGTAGCCAGATGTTTGATACCAGCCTGGACAACAAAGTGAGACCCCATCTTTATGAAAAGAAAAAAAAAAAAAAAAGCTGGATATGGTGGTGTGCACCTGTAGTCCCAGCTACTTGGGAGGCTGAAAAGGGAGGATGGCTTGAGCCCAGTAGTACCAGGCTGCAGTGAACCACGATCATGCCACTGCACTCCAATAAACATGAAGGTCTAAATCTTCTCCCCTTCTTCAGGAAAGAATAATATTTCTAGGTTTCTATAGATCTATTCTAGTACCTGACATATAGTAGGCCTACAATTCATTTAACATTACTGCTACAGATGCTCACGTAGTTCTTTAATTTTGGTGTAGTATAAATAGAAAGAAAACTTGTCCAAGGTTACTGAAATACTCTCAACACATAGTTCATTATAAGATTAGAATTCGTTGACTGAATGAATACAAAGAAACCAAAGTCTGACTGCAGGGCCAGAATCTTTCAACTATACTACACTAGACATTTCATTTCACATTAATCTAGAGCTCATGGGATACTATATGGTTGTTCATCTTTTAGTAAATGAAGCAACTCTTCTAGAAGATCTTGATAAGAGATTGTTTTTGGAATGGTTTACAACTTCTTACACACACAGACACACACACACAAAATTCCTAGGGGAAAAATCCTTAACTACAAAAAACTGAGTCGTTTATTCAAGTATTTTTAAAATATTACAAGGGAATTCCATACTGAGCTGAAAAGATTAGTTTTCTACTGATTCATAGAATAGTGATAGCAAGATAGCATGGGTTTTTTTTTTTTTTAAGTATAGAACATTCCAACTTCAATTAAACTTCATCCTGGATCATCAACAAAGAGATAAGAAATAAAAAGAAGGGCAAAACTGCTTTTTCTGTTAGTTTTGAAGCTTGGAATCATTAGGAAAAGAGAGAGAGAGATCAGGTACAGTTGTCAGGTTGTCAGTGATAGGAGACAGGAGGGCAAGAAAAATCACAGTATATTAAAATGAAATGATAGTTTTTTCTTTCAATACTATCTACTCCTGTACTTGAATGTAATGGCTAAAGTGATTTCCAGATATGGTTAAAAGTGATGTCTCCAAAACCTACCCCCAAGTTGAAGGTAGCATCTATTTACCTACTAGAAGCAGCCAGAAGCCATTGAGGGAGCAAAGAGTCAAAGACTATACTCAGAGGCTGGTTGAAAAGAATTCAAATTCAAAGACCTAAGCATGACAATAGAAATATAAAATTTATTTAAGGAGTAGTTATTCTTTAAAAAGAAGGGGAAAGAAGAGAAAGGCTACTGAAAATCTTTTAGAAAAAGATAAAGAGTATTATAACAACAAAAAATAATAGCCCCAGAAACAAGCTTCATAGTTGTTAGTGACAACGCTATTAAGTTGAGGCTGAGAAGTGCCAGAAAAATGTCCTTTTTTTCTTGTTAAAAATATAGCCTGCTATTATGTGTAATACATGTTCACATTTGAAGGCAACTGATGGTCAATAACTTTCAAAATGAAGATCAAGCAAGCACAAAACAAATTACCTGGGTAACTGCCTCCTTCCAGGGCATCATAACTGTTGGGCATTGGAGAAGCACTGCTTGTGGTAGAAGAGCTGTCAACACCTAAAAGGAAAACCAAAATATCTACTAGGTTTAAAATGACAAAGTATCTTAAAGCAGCCTTTGGCAATTTTGAAAAAGATGTTTTTGCGGAACTAGGAAAATTCCTGATTCTAGTAAAAAAGTAAAATGATTGATGTCTAGAGACATTTTAAAAACCAATGAATTTCTGTTAAGAATAGAAGATGAGAGTGGAGAGAATATGAAGCTGATGAGTGGGATAAAATTCAGTTAAACATGTAAAGTATCTTAGAGAAGAACAGATATTAAACTATTAAAACTAGTCAAACACATAAACAAAAACTTTAGGTTGATAGAAATGTTAATATAGTCACATCTTAAGGATTACATCTACCAAATATACTACTAAATATATTTTATCAATATTAGGGTATTTTAAGGTAATTAAATTTTAATGACTTTTATTTATATCATAGCACACTGAGACATTCATAAATGAGGAGTCTGTGGCTTAGGTTGCTATCTGGCATGCTACTAAGCTTTTCTGTGTCTCAGTTTACATATCTGCAGAATAGAGATTAAATAACACCTGCCATATTTAATAAGGTAATATAAATGAAAGGCACACTAATTCATATAAATGTTAGACTATAAGAATTTTCATTATGTGTGCTCATTCAAAACCTGTTAAGATGAGAGTTCAGTGACAATTTATGATGAAATGTGGTCACAGGTCACATGAAAAGAACAAGCAATATACTTCTTCCATTCATTCAACAAATATTTTGAGACCTACAATTATCCTGGGTACGTATGCTAGCGTATATTATGATGAATAAAATAAAAAATCTGCATGATCCTTCTATTATGTTAGAGATCTTGCTTTGTTTCACAGTAAGACAAAATTCTGTGCTACAGAGGTTATCCCTTGCTATTAATACCAGTATTATAACTGGTGTTTAAACTACATTTAGGTTAATTTTCAATTGTAATAGGGAAGGAACAGGTATGCATAATTATTTTTCATTGAATAATTTTAGATGAACATGAGAATCAGGTATACCGACTCAGGGCATAATAGCTGATGTTTTTTGTGTAGGAACATTTTCTTATCAGCAAAGAACATGATTTGGAGGCAAAGACTGCAGTTACATCAACTCCATCATTTACTTGCTATGTAACTTTGTGGTTCTTTTCTCCTAAGAATAAGTGAAGGTAACTTGCTATATAACTCTTCTGCAAAATGCTAACGATTTTTTAAATGTCCTATGTGTGGTTTTTTATGTTCTTATAAGGTCTAAATGAGACAGTGGATATGAAGACACCCATTAAATAAGTAATAGGTAGAAGACACTAATATTTATGCAGTGCCTTCTTCGTGATAAGTAGAACAATTTTGCACATATATTTTTCCTCTTAATAAAGAATGGAAAGTAATGCCCTTTCCTTTGTGTTCCTTTTATTTGTGAATTTTAAACTAAAGCAGAATGCTGATATATCAGGTCAAAAGTCTCCAAATATTCATCAACAGATGAATGGATAAACAAAATATGGTATATCTATAAAATGGGATATTATTTAGCCATAAAAATGAAGTATGGATACACGCTACAATGTGAATGAAACCTGAAAATTTGCTTAAGTGAAATAAATCAAACAAAAAAGACCATATATATTATCATATGTATATATCACATGTATATATCATATATATACCATATATATCATATATATACCATATATATTATAATATATAATATATATAATTCTATTTATATGAAAGACCCAGGCTGAGGGGAGGGGAAAATGGGGAGTGACTGAGTGTAGGATTTTCTTTTGGGATGATGAAAATGTCTAGTACTTCACAAAATTAGATAGAGCTAAATAGAAGTGGGGACTGCACAACACTGTACATGTACTAAATGCCACTGAATTATACAATTTAAAACAGTTAATTTTATGTTATGCATATTTTTCCTTAATAAAACTAAACAATTTACCATGACATTTCAATGGGGAAATAATATTCTTTTCAGCAAATGGTGCTGGAACAACTAGACATATCCACACGCAGAAGAACAAAGCTGGACCCCTTCCCTACACCACAACTAACTCAAAATGGATCATAGACATAAAATGTAAGTGCTAAAACTATAAAACTCTTAGAATACAGGAATAAATCTTCATGACTAAATGAATTTTTAGATATGACATCAAAGGTACAAGCAACAAAAGAAAAAAGATAATTTGGACTTCATCAAAATTAAGAACTTTTGTGCTCTAAAGGTTACCGTATCATCAAGAAGTAAAAAGACAACCCACAGAATGAGAGTAAATATTTGCAAATCATATATCTGATAAGGGGTTAATATCCAGAATATGTAACAAACTCTTACAACTCAACAATAAAACAACAAATAACCAAATTTAAAATGGGCAAAAGATTTGAACAGATATTTATCCAAAGAAGATAAACAAATGACCAATAAACACATGAAAAGATGCTCAACATCACAATCCCATTAGGAAAATGAAAATCAAAACAACGAGATAACATTTCACATCCACTAGGATGGTTATAACCAATCGAATGAGGATTCCAATTTTTCCACATCTTTGCCAAACCTTATTACCAAAGACGTGGAGAAATTAGAATCCTCGTTGGATTGTAAAATGGTGCAGTTACTTTGGAAAACAGTTTGGCAGTTTCTCAAAAGTTAAATACAGAGTTCTGACCCAGCAATTCTACTCAAGAGAAATGAAAACATAAACCTACACAAAAACTTGTTGACAAATGTTCACAGCAGGAGTATTCATAACAGCCAAAAAGCAGAAACAACCCAAATGTCCATCAACTCATGAATGGATAAATAAAATGTGATACATTCACATATGGAATATTTTTTGGTAACAAAAAATAATAAAGTACTGACATATGCCATAATGTGGATGAACCTTGAAAACATTATGTTAAAAGAAAGATGCAAGTAACAACCACATATTATATGATCTCTACATATAAAATGTTCAAAATAGACAAACCTGTAGAGACAGAGGATTAATGGCTGCCTAGAGCTGCGTGTGGTTGTGCGGGGAGGGTAGAATGGGAAGAAGGCTAAAACATATGAAGTTTCTATTTTGGGGTGAAGAAAATGTTCTGGAATTACATAGTAGTGATGGTTGCTACTTTGTGAATATGCTAAAAACTGCAGAACAGCACAACTTAAATAGGTGAATTTTATGGTATGTGAATTATTTCTCAAAACTGCTATTAAAAATATCATGGGCATTCTAAGAAAAACTTTTAAATGTATATATCAAGAAATAACTACTCTTGAAAAAAAATAAAGTCCAAAGATAAAAGATTACTTATATATGAACTTATTCCAAAGAACATACTACTACTCAGTTAAGATGTTTAGTTTCTTTCATGTCAAATCAACTGTTAATATTTTAAAGATTGTTCATTTTAATAAGGCTATAAGTTTTAAAGTATTAATTTTTTTATTCTATTTTGTTTACTGAATAGTTTGAAATCTGCTAGTTTACTTTAAATTCACTTTCAGAAGAAAAAATGACTGCAAATCTCTATTTGTGAACCTGTCAAAATATCAAAGCAATGATAATTGTTATAAACCCAAATAAATCAGTAAGCTAAACAGACTCATGATATTTTGCTATTTAGATTAATGCGTTCTAAGTAACGCATTAATCAGAGGTCATGCCATTACTGGCAAATAAATCAAAAAGGTATTTTTATAAAACAGTACCTGATTGAAAACTTATGTGTTAACATTCTGAACATGCTTAGAAACAGCCTTTACTAATTTCCCCACCATCTTAGTGAATAAGGTGTAAATGCCTTCACACTGTCATAAAACAAACTTCAAAATTTGGCTTCTACTTGTCCTTTCCACCTGCATCTCTCACCTGTCCCTTTACCATCCTCCCTTTTACCTTATTTTGCAGTTACACCAAACTTCTGACTCTTGACCCAATACTACATTTTTTTCTTCTGTTTATGCATTATGTCTGTTAGCCATAATTTCCTTTCTTCACATGGCAAATTACTACTCATCCTTCAAATTTCAAATCCTTTGTCAAACTTTTCCTGTATGCCCACAGAAAATCATTTCCTCTTCTATGCAGGAGCACATTCTCAATCCTGAATTAATACACTTTTCTTTTTTTTTTTTTTTTTTTGAGACAGAGTCTCACTCTTGTCACTCAGGCTGTAGTGCAGTGGCGTGATCTCAGCTCACTGCAACCTCTGTCTCCCGGGTTCAAGTGATTCTCCTGCCTCAGCCTCCAAAGCAGCTGGGATTACAGACGCCAGCCACCACGGCCGGCTAATCTTTGTATTTTTAGTAGATATGGGGTTTCGTTATGTTAGCCAGGCTGGTCTCAAACTCCTGACCTCAGGTGATCTGCCCATCTCAGCCTCCCAAAGTGCTGGGATTACAGGCGTGAGCCACCGCGCCTGCTTACACTTTTCAAGTTGTACTGTAATCATATGGTATCTGTTTCCCTATCATATTATACGTATTTGATGGCCAGAGCTATGCTAATATATTGATCTTTGGAATCCTGATACCAAGCAAAATACTGCTTTCAGCATACAAGCTGGTTTCCACTGAATCAATGGCTTTGGTACTTGTCCCATGCTTAATCCTTGGATAGCATCGATTTGCCTCAGTCACTTCACACTACAATTACTGATAATAAGTATTCTGAGATCAAATGGGGGTCAAGTATGAAATGCAGTACTTGGAAATAATTTTCTCTCATTCTTCTACTGGCTCTATGTTACAGCTTGAAAGAAGAAAAAAGGAAAGAGAAAAAGAGAGGGAGCTGAAATCTAAAGAAGTAACGAGGAGAACAGATCAGAAGAATAGCTCAGAATCCTTGAAGCTAGAGAAGAGTATCAGAAAGCAATTAAGCCTTTAAAAAAAGGCTTAAGCTGTTTTCTGTCTCTAAAAGACAAGCAATATGGGTCAACAAAGGCAATATACTTACTAGTATTGCTAAACTTGAAATTAGCCAGATAATTTGAGATTTCCTCATAACCTGCACAAAACATGAAAAGGCTATAACTCAAACTCCATGTCCACTCCCTAACAGTTGAGGGAAAATGGACACCTGACATCTCTGAGCTGCTCCTCATTAGTAACAACAGATTTCATAATAACACCTACTCCACAGAGCTACTATTACAACTTCACAGATATCACAGGTATAACAGATATTAGCAAGAGACTCAGGAAATGTTCTTCGTGTTCTCTCTTCCCTCTATCTCCAAACAGTGCTACAGAGGGGGAAAAAACAAAACAAGACAGATACCTCCTGATAGATTTTCCAATTGTTTTTTTTTCCTCAGCTTTCAGCCAAACTTTCCTCAACACTTAACACTGCTAACCCAGTAACTTCTGATTCTCCACCCTGCTGGTTGATTTTTCATCACTGTTCAGTAAATTTTTTTCAAAGTTGGAGAACAATCCCACATAAACTAAACACACAAAAATCTCACAAATAAAGGGAATAAATGCCACTGAAATGCTTAAGAAGTAGAGCACTCCAAATCGCTACTTTATTAGACACTTACATGTAATTCCCACACCAATTTCAGCCACTTTCTTTTTACCTCTGTACATATGAAATAAATTATTGTAACTGGGCAAGGTTTAAAAAATAAAATTCCATTTAAAGCTAGACTTTCTTCCCATCCCACCACTGAGAATGTTTCTTTAATTTGCAACCAACAAAGATATTATTTTAAAAAACCATTAATAGAGAACACTAAGATTATAGTAAAAATGTCAATAATATAGTCTTATTTTGTGGAGTAGAAAAAAACACAGGAGTAAGATAACATGTACGTTTAACACTGTAGTGACTACCGTCATGTGCCCTTTACTCCCACCTACTCTGGCCGTTTATGTTCTCTCACTAGATAGGAAGACACCTTCTTTTTCATACTTTTCTGCAGAAAGACCTCAGTTTGAATCTCTATTCTGCCTACTGAGCAGCTGTGTGACCACAGACAAATGTTACTTAATATGTTCAGGCTGCAGTTAATTCATCTGTAAAATAGAGTTGATTATTTCTGCCTTGCAGAATTGTTGAGAAGAACAGACAATAACACAATCTCAATGCTGGTAATGACAGCTAATCTTTCTGAGTGTTTACGATTTGCCACACACTGTTCTAAGCTCTTTACAAACAGTATCTTCAATCCTTAAAACAACTATATGTAATTGTTACTATCATTATCACAAAGCTAGAAAGTGAAAAGTCGGGATGTGAGTCTAGAAAAACTGACACAAAAACCAAGGGAGACATACTAGCTCTGTATTGCTACGACTGGCATTCAGTAAGTGCTAAAAATGTTAGGTATTATTAAAATCCAAATGCCATAAAAACTCAGGAATTTTAAATCTATAATATACTCAAGAAAAATAATAAACAAGACATTAGAAAAAAGCCATAAATGCTAAATCTTTTTTTTTTTTTTTTTTTTGAGACAGAGTCTCACTCTGCCACCCAGGCTGCAGGGCAGTGGCGTGATCTCGGCTCACTGCAACCTCTGCCTCCCAGGTTCAAGCAATTCTCCTGCCTCAGCGTCCAGAGTAGCTGGGACTATGGGTGTGCGCCACCACACCTGGCTAATTTTTGTTATTTTTAGTAGAGACAGAGTTTCACCATGTTGGCCAGGCTGTTCTCAAACTCCTGACCCCAGGTGATCCGCCTGCCTTGGACTTCCAAAGTGCTGGGATTACAGGCGTGAGCCACTGCACCTAGCCACCAAATCTTTCTGATCTCTCTCTCTTTTTTTTCTTTTTTTGGAGAACACAACATTTAAATAGTCTCAAAGAAACTCCTCACAAATGACTTATTAATTTTAACAGGGAAAAACAGTAACTTTATAGTGGAGAAACCTGGCAGATACCACCTTATTCAAATAATAAAAGTTAACCTCATCAATATGAGAACAAATTGACATCATGTGCCTCAAATAGGATGCACTGAGAACACAACATTGTTTTAGTGGTAATCCTCCGAAAAATGCATGGTCTGAATCTAATCATGAGGAAACCTCAGATAAACCCACACTGGGGAACATTTTACAAAATAACTGGTCTGTACTCTTTGAAAATGTAAAGGCAAGGAAAGAGGCTAATGAACTGTTGGAGACTAAAGGAGTCTAACATGACAACTAAATTCAACGCATGATCCAAATTGGATCCTGGACCATGAAAACAGCTTTATAGCTGATCTACTTCAGACAACTGATATTTGACAATGAACAGTGTTATCAGATATTATTGCATCAATGCTCTATTTCTTGATAACTGTATTTTGGTTATTTAAGACACTGACCTTATGATTAGGAAACATAAAGTATTAGGGGTAAAGTTCATGATGTCTCCAATTTACTTGCAAATGGTATAGCAAAAATATGTTGATAGAGAATTATAAAGCAAATGTGGCAAAAATGGTTTATCTGGGTAAAGCGTACATGCGGGTTTCTTTTAACTTCTGTGAGTTTGAAATTTTGTTAAAATTTAAAATTACAAAAAAAATTTCAGAAACATAGATGGGTACTTACGTATTTAGAGTAAGAAAAATTATTTCCCACCTGTCACCCCCAATTTTTATCCCGAGTCGCATATAATGATTTAAATATTTTTAAATGCACAGGAAATAGAAATTTTTGGTTAAAATGATTGTTTGCAGAACAGATCTTCACATTTAGAACAGGAGAATTGTGGTCACATATAATAACTTGAAAGATCATCAGTTATTGGTTCAGTCTTAAACTATAGGTTGAGAGTCCCTAATGTGAAAATCCAAAATCTTAAATGCTTCAAAATCCAAAATTTTATGAGGGCTGACATGACACCACAAGTGGAAAATTCCACACCTGACCTCATATGACAAGTCACAGGCAAAACTCTGTATCATGTACAAAATTATTAAAAATATTGCACAAGGCCGGGCACTGTGGCTCACACCTGTAATCCCAGCACTTTGGGAGGCCAAGGCAGGCGGATCATGAGGTCAGGAGATCAAGACCATCCTGGCTAACACAGTGAAACCCCATCTCTACTAAAAACACAAAAAATTAGCCAGGCGTGGTGGCGGGTGCCTGTAGTCCCAGCTACTCGGGAGGCTAAGGCAGGAGAATGGTGTGAACCCGGAAGGTGCAGCTTGCAGTGAGCCGAGATCGCTCCACTGCACTCCAGCCTGGGCAACAGAGCAAGACTCCATCTCAAAAAAATATATATATATACATACATATATATATATATATAAATACATAAATACATATATATAAATACATATATAAAAAACATATGTATAATATGTGTGTGTGTGTGTGTGTGTGTGTATATATATATATATATATATATATATATATATATATATATATAGTACAAGCCTGGCAAGGTAGCTCATGCCTGTAATCCCAGCACTTTGGGAGGTTGAGGTGGGCGGATTCCCTGAGTGCAGGAGTTCAAGACCAGCTTGGGCAACATGGCGAAACCCCATCTCTACAAAAAATACAAACATTAACTGTGCAGGGTGGCCTGTAGTCTCAGCTATGTGGGAGTTGAGACAGGAGGATGGCTTGAGCCTGGGAGGCGAAGGTTGGCAGGAGCCATGATTGTGTCACTGCACTCCAGCCTGGGTGACACAGTGAGATCCTGTCTCAAAAATAAAAAACAAAGCAAAATAAAAAAATATATATAGTACAAAATTATCTTTAGTTTATGTGTATAGGTGTATATGAAACATAAATGAATTTAGTATTTAGACTTGAGTCCCATCCTCAAACTATCTCACTATGTATATGCAGCAAATATTCTGAAATCTGAAAAAATATGAAATTTGAAACACTCTGGCCCCAAGCATTTCAGATAAGGGATATTCAACCTGTATTAGAATTAATGGAGGAACTGAACTGCTTAATTTTTTAGCAGTGTTCTACCTATCAAAGGCAGAAAAAGATATTAAACAGTTTGCAACACATAACCATATGCACAACTTCTTCAGCTAGCAAGATATGTACTATTTCATGAAGCAGGAAAATAACTACAAATTCTGGGCCTTCTAAATACATGACAAGAAAAGCCAAAAGGACCTCACTGAAACACTGTCCTATTTCTCTATCCCTATTATAAAATCCACATGGCTTATTTTGATTAGACTAAAGTAGCAGGCAAAGCAGAAAATGAAGCATTATTCCTAAAACGATGCTAGAGCAATCATCAGCCAAAAGCTTCAGTCAGTACTCATTATTTTGCATGTGACATGGGAGAAAATGCATTTCTGAAAGAAGAATGCACTCTACTGTCATGAAAGAGGAATTCTGATTCTATTATTTACAATATGGCAAAGATGCCTAAAGGAGGAAAAACAAAACAAACACCTTATTTTATGTGACACATCTTCTATAATGCAAACCTCGTAAGTTCATCATGCTAAATCTTCAAAGACTCTTTTTTAAAAGGCTAAGTAAGACTGTGGAAACAAAAAGAAAACTTGAGCAGGAAAAGATCAAGAACTGGTGTAAAGCTAAAGCAGACCTGCTTCCTCATCCTCCTCCTCCTCTTCCTCATCATCGGAAGTTGATGACAAGGGAGTTGGTGCGGAGCTAGCTTGGTTATTAACATATTCACCATACTGCACGCCTGTAAAGTGGAAAGCACAAACATAAGAGTCAAACCAACAGGAAAGATGAGAAATAAAAATTTGACATTGCATTAAAAGTGAGAAAGAACTCTGACATTCCAAAGAACATCCCAACATGCATATTAATATTAGCAAATTCATTATCAAAACTAGAACCATTAGAAAATCTCTGCAAAGCAGTTTAGTAAAAGCAGCTTTAATATGGACTGGCTTAAGTGTGAAAAGGTATCTATCATGTATTGTCCAAAACAGTTAGTATTTAGGAAGCTGCAATAATATTGTCTGAAAAGTTTACTGAGCTCTATACATGTTTATCTCCTTTGACCTTATGGCCCTGTGGTATATTTCCTTTGGGATTGTGCATTTTTGGTGGGCAGTGATCATTTATAGTGAACTGATTTTGTACAGCATACAAAACACATACGTGGTACCCCTTCCTTCTGCTAATGTTACCTTGATGGTAAACTCAGTTCCCATAACAGAAGAAGAATCACAGTTAAAGAAAAAAACTGTATTCGGCATAGTTCTCTGCTAACAGTAGATACTCTGGGAGTGGGGGACGGGGGGCTGGGGGACTTATTATCTGTGACCCTACAAGTGTGAGAATTACAGAAAACTGAATTTTCTGAGACAGCCAGTCATGTCAGTGTCATCCTATTGCCTACATGTGAGTCCGAAACAGGTGAATAAGACTGGTCCTGTGTGAAATATACCAACAGAAGGCAGATTCTGTAGAAAAGGGCACAATAAACTGGTATTGGTAACTGTTTACTAATTCCCTTAAAAAAATGTAATTGGGTATTTCTATTATTTGATCTGATAGAATGAGGACTTTAAAAATTAACATATATACCGTTTTTAAGAGGAAAAATAAAAATTATCTTAATTGAAAATGAAGGCCGGGCATGGTGGCTCACGCCTGTAATCCCAGCACTTTGGGAGGCCAAGGTGGGAGGATCACAAGGTTAAGAGATCGAGACCATCCTGGCCAACATGGTGAAACCCTGTCTCTACTAAAAATACAAAAATTAGCTGGGCGTGGTGGCGCACGCCTGTAGTCCCAGCTACTTGGGAGGCTGGGGCAGGAGAATCGCCTCTGCTGGGAGGCAGAGGTTGCAGTGAGCAGAGATTGTGCCATTGCACTCCAGCCTGGTGACAGAGCAAGACTCCATCTCAGAAAAAGAAAAAGAAAAGGAAAAAAGAAAATGAAAACACTTCTTAAATAAGAATAAACATCCTTGTATGGAAAATCTCATGGCTCTACTTTGAAAAAAAAAGAAAAAAGAAAGCCAGAAACATAGTGGGGATTTTTAAGAACATTTCCTAATATTGGGGTACAATGAAGCCCTGCCTCACCAAAATCACACGATAGTGCTTTAATGCTCTCTTTATTTTTTTTTCAGGTGACTAGCATACTTGATTAGCATGGATAAACAACTCATCACTAGAGTAAGAAAAAAACTATTAAGAATAAAATTTTAGTTTAGAAGCAAAGGTTAAACTGTAGATGAATGAAGCTTTGATCTTTCAACAATGACTAAAAAAAGTCATGGAAAAATCTGCTAGCTTTGCTGAAACATCTTTTAATATCGGTAAAATAGCAGTATCCCAAATTCAAATCAATGTAAATAAAATAAAAATCAATAAAATAAAAATCGATGTAAATAAAATAAAATAAAATCAATGTAAAATAGGTTCAGGTAATGCAAGAAACAAACTTAATACCAAAAACAAATTCAGAGTGGCACATTCTTCTGACAAAAAGCCCAATTAAAACGAATATTTGAGCCAAGCACAATTGCTCATGTCTATAATCCCAGCACTTCATGAGAAAATAAAAATAAATGTAAAATAGGTTCAAGTAATACAAGAAACAATATCAAAAACAAATTCAGAGTGGCACATTCTTCTGACAAAAAGCCCAATTAAAACAAAAATTTGAGCCAAGTACAATTGCTCATGTCTATAATCCCAGCACTTTGGGAGGCTCAGGCAGGAGTATCACTTGAAGCCAGGAGTTCAAGACCAGCCTGGGCAACATAGTGAGACCCCATCTCTGTAAAAAGTAAAAAAAAAAAATTAGCCAGGCATGGCGCCCTGCTCTAGGTTGGGTATAGCACATACAGACTACAACAAATGGGGAGCTACAGCCGGCAAGGGGTTGATAGCCAAGTCATCTATTCTAGGATATGTGAATGCTTCCTGAAGTGCCTCTAATTCAGATTCTCTTTAAGAGCCAAAATCTATGTATGAGATACACAGATCAAATATATAAGGTGGTAAAATATGACATCCTTTCCCAGAGCTCAGCCTGAAACCCACTGTAGAAATGTATGTACATGGAGTAGCTACCTCTACCACCACCACCACCGAATGGAGAAGGAATGTTATATCATAATTTATTCTATCTTAACCAGAGCTTCCAAGGTATAAATCTACTCAACCAAGAAACATGAAACACTTTATAGAATCTAACATGATGCAGCACTCTGTTATTCAAAGGGCCCCAATATTTTCGAAAGGACATTTAGTTTAAATAACCAACCATTAAAGTACCCTCAGGCAAATCTTTCCAGGAGAACATATCCTTGGTGCTGCTTAATATTCTTCAGTGTTCCCTAGATACAGCTATACCACGAATAAATCAAACTAATCTTAAGAGAACAAATCTCTTGTGGAGATTAGCTTTTTTAAATTCAGGAGTTCAGACTTTTGAGTAACTGCTCTCTTTCCTAAACTGGAAACTAGGTGTACACACTAGAAGACTTTTCAAGGGTCCCCACAAAAGAATGGTTTTAAGGAAATCAATTTTCAGATGTCGATTCCTGTAAGTACTCTTTCCTCAAACTTACCCACCTAAAAAAGTGCCCGTGTTAATGACAGCCTTTCTTTTATTTTACAAAGGAAACACATGACCTTAGTTTATCCTAATTTTTACTATGACACACTGCTGTAATGTATGCCAGTCTCTTATTATACAGTACACAGTAGGAAATACTGAACAGAGAAGGAGCGTAACATTATGGATAAAGAAGAGGACTCTGGGTTCAACTCCAGGTTCTATCACTTAACTACTGGTATGTCCTTGAGCAAGTTACTAACCTCTGTTCTTCACTTACATTATCTATAAAATAGGGTAATACTTCAAATGGTTGTGGTAAGGATTAAATGAGTTAATATATTTCAAATGCTTAGAATGGTGCATGACACATACTAAATACAAAATAAATGTGAGCTATATCACTAACTTTAAAAACATGTTTTTGGGTATATTCAATTAAAATTATTTTCAGCTGTTCTTTTCAGGGCACATCATTAGAAAAAAAAGAACCACCCACCAACACTCAGTCCTGCTAATTATTTTATTTTATTAATTTTTTTTTTTTTTTTAAGACAGAGTCTCACTCTGTCACCCAGGCTGGAGTGCAGTGGCATGATCTCAGCTCACTGCAACCTCTGCCTCCCCGGTTCAAGTGATTCTCCTGCCTCAGCCTCCTGAGTAGCTGGGATTACAGGCCTGTGCCATCACGCCCAGCTAATTTTTTTTTACATTTTTGGTAGAGATGAGGTTTCACCATGTTGGCCAGACTGGTCTCGAAGTCCTGACCTCAAATGATCCACCCACCTTTGCCTCCCAAAGTGCTGGTATTACAGGCGTGAGCCACCATGCCCAGTTGTAATTATTTTAAAAACAAATGGAGTATTTTCTAGGACTACCAAGTGTTTTTAAAACATACTCACTAAAACTCAAGATAAAAATTCTGTGATTTCAGTCAATGTGACATGTGCAATAAAATATTTTACAACCTTTTCATGATAAAATATAGTCAATTCTTAATTTTTATATTTTATAAAATATTTAACACTTTCTACATCCTTTTAACAAAAAAATATTTACCAACAAGTGAATCTGTTAGTACTTAGTAGTATATGCTTTGATAAGTTTTGAGGACTGCTTTTGCCAATTAGGTCATATGGAGATATCATCCATAAAATAAATGGCCTGTATCATAGCTTGTTTTTGATAAAAACACACTTACAGGGTATGGTAGCCAGGCACAGTGGCTCACACCTGTAATCTGAGCACCTTGGGAGGCCAAGGTGGGATAATCACTCGAGCCTGGGAGTTCAAGACCAGCCTGGGCAACACTGTAAGACCTCATCTCTACAAATAATTTTTTAAAAAATTAGTCAGATGTGGCAGTGTGTGCCTGTGGCCTTAGCTACTCAGGAGGCTGAGGTGGGAATATCGCTTGAGCCCCAGTGGTCTCAAGGGTCGAGGCTGCAGTGAGCTGAGCTACTGCACTCCAGCCTAGGCAACAAAACAAGACCCTGTCTCAAAATAAATAAATAAATAAAAATAATAAAAAGTATGGTAAGCTATATTGGCCATGGTAGAAGGAAATTCAAAATATTTTGAATAACTGCTGATAGAGTAAAACAAGTACTGAGTTTGAAGGCAAAAGGTGTGCAATGGGCCTGGGTACCTCTCCTTCCAACTCTGTAGGTCTTTTTTTTTTTTTTTTTTTTTTTTTATTTGAGACGGAGTCTCGCTCTGTCGCCCAGGCTGGAGTGCAGTGGCGGGATCTCGGCTCACTGCAAGCTCCACCTCCCGGGTTCACGCCATTCTCCTGCCTCAGCCTCCCAAGTAGCTGGGACTACAGGCGCCCGCCACTACGCCCGGCTAATTTTTTGTATTTTTAGTAGAGACGGGGTTTCACCGTTTTAGCCGGGATGGTCTCGATCTCCTGACCTCGTGATCCGCCCGCCTCGGCCTCCCAAAGTGCTGGGATTACAGGCGTGAGCCACTGCGCCCGGCCAACTCTGTAGGTCTTAAGGTAAGACATGTAACCTTTCTAAATTTAAATTTCCTCACTTACAAAAGGAAGAAAACATATGATATGCTTGTTCCATGTGATGAGAAAGTAAGACAGATAGAAAAAGTTAAAGGGATTTGCAAATTACAAACTGTTATATGAAATAATAATGTTAACAACTACCACCTGGAAAATAAAATCTAACAAACAATAATTTCTGACATGTAACTCAGAAGGTTAAAAAGAGTAAAAGCAAAATAAAGCAAAACAGAATGATACTGCTTTAGCAGAATTCTTACAAGTAATTCTAATCTACTTTATGTGAACAATGTTTCTCAGCAATTATATGTATGAAAATAAAAACTAAGAATGAAATTTATCTGAACATTATCATATTCTAACAATGAATCATATTCAACTCAGATACAAAACTATAGTGGGGAGAGGAGACAGCCCATTCATTTCACTGAAAGATGTATTTCCAATAAAAACGTACTTCACATAAATACCAAAATTCATGATGTTTATGTTGTTTTGACCAATTTTATACCAACAATAAAAGCTGTAGTGATTGGCCAGGCACAATGGTCACGCCTGTAATCCTAACACTTTGGGAGGCCTAGGCAGGCAGATCACTTGAGGCCAGGAGTTTGAGACCAGCCTGGTCAACATGGTGAAACCCCGTCTCTACTAAAAATACAAAAATTAGCTGGGCATGTTGGCACATGCATGTAATCCCAGCTACTCAGGAGGCTGAGACATGAGAATCGCTTGCATCTGGGAGGCAGAGGCTGCAGTGACCCAAGATCATGCCACTGCACTCCAGCCTGGGTGACAGAGTGAGTCTGTCTCAAAAAAAAAAAAAAAAGAGAGAGAGAAAAAGTTGTAATGATTGATGGCTTCATTCAAAAGAAAATATACTATTTAGAGACTTAAAGTCATAGATAATAAAACAAATTTTAACATTTCATTTTATATATTATGGTCATGGAAAAGCACAATAGAGTGATAAAAGAGTTTCTAGTGTAAGCATATATTTTATTATTACATTAAGGAAAGGGGATATGCCATCAAATAGAAAAATGAAAAATGTAAACTTCCCAAATGTTAAAGAAGGGGTATTTGTGTGTTTTGCAAAAGGACGATGGTAGGTATCATTCCAAAGGGTACATTTGAAAGAATAATGTAACATCTCAGTTTTAAAAGTCAGCCAGCATATATGTTAAAAACTGCATAACTACAAGTATTTAAATTTTTGATGAAAAATTTTAGATATCAATCTAAAAAATGTTCAAGTAGGTAGTTTATAAAAAAAATTTTAGGGGCTACCCAAACAAAAATTTGATGTCTCCCCTAAAAACAGAAAAAAAATGCTTAGTCTTGGGAGAACAACTAAGCAACGGTGTCTTTGAATTTGGAAGAAAAAAGCTAATCTCTTTTTAAGTATAATCACTTTAGTAGTTCATATCAGGCCCACAGTAAACCCTATGCAGATGATACACTGCACAATTCGAAGAAGCTCCATTCATGCAAATGACAATTCGCACCACCATATGTGGTAGCCCTGACTCAATTAGGTTGTATAGCTCAGATCTCTCCAAAGACAAAGAAGTCACTAAGAGGCCATTCTCCTACTTATGAAAAAGGAACAATAAAAACTACAATTCAGATGTCCCCAGTATGATATTTTCTGTTACTTAAGCAAGAAACTTATCTTAGGTAAACCAAGAGTTAGTTTGTCAACAGCCAATGACAACAAAAATTCAGCTTTATTTTATAGAAAGAATACAAGATAGAGAGATCTGAGTTAAAAAATCTTTTGCTTTGCTACTTATTAACTTGTAGTCTTGGGCAAGTTACCTAACCTCTGTCAATCTCACTTTTCTCATCTGTAAAAAAGGAAGAATATCTATGTCATAAGATTAATATGTGAATTAATGAGATATAAAGTATCTGATATATTGTATGTGCTCAATAAATGGCAGCTTCTTCTACTTTCAAAATATATTTTAATAGAAAAAAGAAGAAACATAATTGCAATTGTTTAGTGGGCAAACCATTTACAAAATATTATTTATAAAAAGATGATAGGATGGTATTTATAGTAAGATGGTAAAAAAGAAAATATGATAGGGGCTGGGCGTGGTGGCTCACGCCTGTAATCCCAGCACTTTGGGAGGCCAAGGTGGGCGGATCACCTGAGGTCAAAAGTTCGAGGCCAGATTGGTCAACATGGTAAAACCCCATCTCCACCAAAAATACAAAAATTAGCAGGGCGAGGTGGCGTGCGCCTGTAATCCCAGCTACCCAGGAGGCTGAGACAGGAGAATCGCTGGAACCCAGGAGGCAGAGGCTGCAGTGAGCCAAGATCATGCCACTGCACTCAACCCCGGGTGACAGAGCAAGACTCCCAACTCCAAAAAAAAAAAAAAAACAATAGGAAGAAATAAGCAGCAGGGGCAATGTAATAGGCCAAAAAAAGCGAAACATTTAAGAAATGGAAGGCAGTCATCAATGTAGAGGAAAAACAAGAAAAGACACCATTCATTTAGTTAGGGCTTTGATCTATCCTAAAAGCTTTTTTGATTTGTGATAAACAAAACTTCTACTGGACCTTCACTTTGAAGGCAAATACTTTTAAGAACTAAATTCAGTTTCCAGTATACCCACTGGTTTGTTGAGAATCAACAGGCACTCTTTGGTGCTGCAGTTACTTTTCCTAAAAAACCAAGTAAGAAAATGTGTAATGTATCATCTGATCAATTGACAGAAAGGTCTCTGTTGATCACATAGACACTCAACAGATACAAGCAATGAGATCACCCTAGGAATTTATCATGCTTTTTTCCTTTTCTCAGTTTCAGACCTATAAGAAGGTTCTTCACACTCAACGTTAGGAGCTGTCATTACATAGTGAGTACAGTCCCTAAAATAATACAATGGTTGCTCTGGAAATACAAACTACAGATTCTTGAAAACAGTTCAATCATCTCTGATCAAATAAAAAATGCCATATATTAACCTGAAACATCAATACTTTGGAATTTTAGCCAGACAGGAAAAACAAAAACAAAAACAAAAACTGCCAAAAGAAACAATGTGGGGAAGCAGGGTCAAAACAACACATTTTATTACCTTTTACTTACTTAACACATGGAGAATATTAAACAAACAATAAATCATATAGTTCTTCAATGACGCAAGAGTATGGGTTACAATTTCATTTTCACCCCCTTTCATTTGCAAAATTCTGTCAAAGCTTACTTTCTGTTATCAATAACAAAAAGCACAGAAATAATCAAATAGGATATGGAGAGTCACTAAATAATAAAGTTTTGGCTTCTCTATCCTAAAAGAAACTATAATAACCTTTAAAAAATAGGAAATAAATGTCCCATGACAGAGGAATGAAATAACCATTATACATTGACACAATGAATAATTAGCCATAAAAAGAGCAATAAAGACTCAATATATATGAAGAACTATGTGTAATAAAAAGAAAAGCAAAATACAAAATGGTATGTAATTATGTAAAACATATATGAGACACTGTAAGTTAATATTCCAAAAGTTGTGTTTGGATTGAGATTATAAGTAACTTTTTTTCATATCTTCTATAAATACGTATGTGTGTCTGTGTGCATATACAATAATAAATATCTCAAATACCTTTTTGTTGTAATAGCTCTGATGGCTGTGTAACTGAGGTCACAGGCTCAACTGGGTGATTTGCAGTGGGAGGTGTTCTTGTTGATGAGGATCCTGAGGATCCTGATAAAACAGTGGATACCACTGGGCTGGACTTGGGAGGCTGAACATTTTGCATAACAGGACAGGATAAAGAATCTGCAACTGAAGAGAAGAAACTATTTCATCCACAGAAACTTGAAATATATTAATATATAATATAGTACCACATACAATACTATATATAATGTATATAATATATAATATAATTATATAATAATATATATCACTAACAAAATAGTTTATCTGAAGTTCTTGTAGAAACTTCAATAGCATCACATTTACCTAGTATATCTAGAAAAGGTGGTACAAATGATTTTTTAAAAACTGAAAAATTACTCATCAAATATTTTAATAAACTTTAATGACAATTTTCCTAAAATATTTCGCAATCTTCCTTACCTTCTTAAACAAAGTGAACTCAAAAAGCTTTTATTTACTAATGATCTCTATGAATACTAATTATTGCACAGATTATTGTACTATGCAATGGTGACTCAGGTAAGGAGGTGAGTAAGAGGTTTTTGACTCTGCAATAATGTGGTCTCTGAATTCCATAAACACTTCTAGTATCAGTTCAGATCTCATTTTGCACTGTAAACTGCTACTTCTCATTTGCTGTTTCTAACCAGATGCCTTATTTCACATGTAACTAAGTAAGAGCCTAACCATAATACGAGGTTGAACTTCTGGAATAAAGTGCATGACTCATCATTGGTCTTTGTGATAGCTCAAAATACCAAATGTCTCCTAGAAGGCAAAATCGTTCCCGGTTGAGAAATACTGGGTAAGTTATTGAAGGTAATCTTCAAGATTATCCAACCAAGAGATAACTGAAAAACCTATGGCAAAAGACTACTGGTGAGCAGTCACGATATACTGAATAAATCTACATATATATACCTGCACATGTATGTATGTGTGTCTATGTATAGTGTGTGTGTATATATGTAAACAACCTTAGTTCTGAGACTGAAACAAATAGGAATATGGTGACAAAACAAAATGTGTTATATGTCCTAACAGTGTAAAAACAACATAAGCACATATGAGGAATGGGGAAAGAAGGTAGTCTAAATATGCTGACTGTTTCATCATTTTTAGTAGGAAGACAAACTATCATTGTGGAAGATTAAAAACATCATCACAATATTTTACAGTTCCTTTCATCAATATGGAGTCTATTTTACCACCCTTTGAATCAGAGCAAACCCTGTGACTGGCTTTAATCAACAGTATGTGGCAGAAATAAAAGTGTACAAGTCCCAGACCTCAAGTCTCGAGGGACACTGCAGCTTACACCTTTCCACTCTGAAATGCTGCATGGATCATCATGCAGGGAAGCTGGTCTAGCCACGTACAGAAAAACATAGGAACCCTAGTGAAGAGTCTGCACCAACTGCTAGACATGTGAGTGAAGCCATCTTAGAATCTTCTAGTCCCGCAAACCTCCAGCAAAATGAATTCACATGAGTGAATTCAAGAAAAACCTGCAGAACTACCCAGCAAACCCACAGAACCAAGAAAAATAATAAATCATTGTTATTTTAAACCAGCAATAGATAACTGACATTATCACTAAAACTGCCAACATAAAACAGTGATTAAGAATATTTAACAGTATCCAAGTAAAAACTGAGAAAGATATAATTGTCTAAAATTAGGGTCGGGTGTGGTTGCTCATACCTATAATCCCAGCAGTTTAGGAGGCCAAGGTGGGCAGATTGCTTGAGCCCAGGAGTTTGAGACCAGCCTGGGCAACACGGCAAAACCCTATCTCTACTGAAAAATACAAAAATTAGTCGGGCATGGTGGTGCGCATCTGTGGTCCTCAGCCACTGGTGAGGCTGAGGTGGGAGGATGGCTTGAGCCCAGGAGGAGGAGGTTGCAGTGAGCCAAGATCTTGCCACTGCACTCCAGCCTGGGTGAAAGCGGGAGACCCTGTCTCAAAACCATAAAATGAAATCATATCAGGTATATGTGTACGTACATGTATGTATTGATACACATGTATGTATGTGTATATATACATATATATGCATAATAAAATAAATACCCATGAACTCAGCATCCAATTTTGAAAATAAAACATTTCCAATATTGTTGAAGCTCTCAATATGCTCCTCACAGAAGGCATTCCCCTGCCCCCTCCTGAATCATGTTTATTATTCTTTTGCTTTTGTTTTCAAATAGTTTACCACACATATAAGTATCTCTAGACATTATTTTTGCTCTTTTTATAAACTTTATAACAATAACATACTGCAGGTATTCTTCCATATTTCCTGTGCTACATTCCTGGGATTCAGTCATGTTAATGAGTGCAGCTCTACTTCATTTTCACTGCTATTCAGAAATCCAATGGAAGAATATAATTTATTTATTCATTCTGCTATTAATGGACTTTTAGGTTATTTCCAATTTTTTGTTTTCACAAACAGTGCAACTATGAATACTCATGCACTTGTCCCTGGTATAGATGTGCAAGTTTCCCTAGGGCAGAGCTTCTATACATAGGTGCCACAGCTCAAATATGTGGAGGTGTGCAGCAAGGGATATCGAATCCCTCAGCCCTGGGGACAGCTCTGTAGGAAATGAGGTCTTTGGCCTAGAAAGCAGACTAGTCTCTTTGTCCAGTATCTCAAACAAAAATCATTTGCCATAGAGGCATCCATCTAAAAGAAGTGGTGCTTTATGGCCCTCATACTCAAAGTGTAGTCTACAGACTAGCAACACCTCATGTGGAAGTTTGTTAGAAAGTAGAATCTTAGGCCAAGCCATAAAAGACCTGGTGAATTAGAACCTACATTTTAAACAGGATCCCAGGTGACACAGATGTATAGTTTGAGGAGAACTTCTCTAGAGTATATGGAAGACAGATAGCTGTGTTGTGGGATGTGGTTATTTTCAATCTACTAATGCCAAATTTTCCTAAAATATGAATGAATATAGCCTCCTACCAAGAGTGTCTAAGAGTTTCCTGTTACTCCACATCCTGACCATTCCTTGGTATTGTTAGACTTTCTAATTTTTACCCATCTGTTAGTAGGTATAAGATGATATCCCATTCTAGTTTTAATTTGCTTTTCACTGTTTATTAATGAGATTATGTTTTCATTTCATCTTCTGTGCAATGCCTATTCAAGTATTTTTCTTTTGGTTGTTGGTCTTTTCCTTATTAATTTCTATGCAGCACTTGTATATTCTGGGTAAATACTGTAAGCATATACATTTTTTCCCAGTTCGCAGCTTATGTTTTTCTTTTTTTCATGTTGTCTTTCAATAAGGAAAAGTTTTAAATTAGAAATGAGTTGCGTTTATCATGTTTACCCTTTGTGGCTAGCATTATGTGCATTGTCCTTAAAAATTCCTTCCCTACTCCAAGGTTCTAGAGATAGAGATTTTCTCTGAGAAGTTTTAAAGTTTTGCCTTTTTGCATTTACACATTTACTTCACCTGCAATTAATTTTATACATGGAGACTTTATCCTTCAGATTACAGCTGAAGTATTACTTTCTTAGGGAAGACTTCTCTAGGCTTCATGACTAATAGGCTAAATGCACCTAAAGTAATGCTCCGAAGTACCATATACGGTTGCTTCATGTTGCTTAAATAATAATAGGAATTTTACATTCATTTGTGTTTATCTGGATAATACTTGCTTCTCTAAGTGAATTGCAAACTTTATGAGGATAGCACTAAGTGTTTTTACTCACTATTTTATCTCCCAACATTAGAACAACTCATGGAACATAGTTAGCTTTCACGTATTTGTTGGATGAATGGAGACAAGGTCTACTAACATTAAGGACCAGGGAGGCACACCAATCAAGAAGCTGCTCCTTTCACAAAGGGAATTTGACAAAACAAACAACACATAAAACTGGACTACGCGAAATGCACTGCTGCACTGTTTAGTTTCTGAGGTGTGATTTCTAAGAGAAGGAAATCATGATTCAAGAATAAATATTTTCTTTTTTTTTGATAATTATGGCAGTTCCTCAGTTAATTTTTTACTTTTACTCCTGGGCTCAAGTGATCCTTCTGCCTCAGCCTCCCAAAGCGCTGCAATTACAGGCTGAGCCAACATGCCGGGCCTTTAGTTCTTAGTAGCTCCTTAGTTCCCTGTTAGTTACTTAGAATTCACTTCTTCATGCATAACACATATGATTAGGTATGTAGATGGCCTCTGAAAAGAATACTCCTTTATTCATATATCCTGTAAAAGTAAGCCCTATCTTAAGTAATTGTGCAAAAAATTCTTTAGAAACTAGGAGCGATTAGTACCACTACCCATTCAAGTTGTTCAAGCTAGAAATTTTAAGTCATCTTGTATTCTTCTTTTTCCTTCATAAACTACATCAACAAATCCTTGAAGTCATCTCTATCATGTCTTCTGCATAAATAAATCCAGCCCAAGTTATCATCCTTCACCTAGATAATTGTAATAATTCCTTTCCAGCTCGTTTTCCTGATCTAGGTTCTTCCTCCTCCAGTTATCTACTACACTGTTCACAGAAGAAAGTTCTGAAACACAAATCTGATAGTGCCAACACCTTGCTTATAAACTTTTAATGGCTGCTGATTACATATAGGACAAGGAGTATGTTTTTCTTTCATTAATTCCTCTCACCTATCCAAATGCCACAGTCCAGCAGAAATTGAGGCTGATACTCTGGAGAGGGGATAACAGCTAAAGCCAGAATCTGAAGTAAGTGAACACAAAGATGAACATCTCGTCTTCTCAGCTTGGAGAGGGAGAACATGTAGAAAAATTTACAAGTAGTGGGCACAAAGTTGAAAAAAGATGAAAAAAGGTTCAAGAGTATCTTTAGAAAAACTGAAGGAATAAGTATGTGAGGGAGTAAAATTACGCTATTCCCATAACTCTACAATCACACAAGTTTCCAAAACTAAAAATAGTCTCTTGTACTGCACTACTTGTATTTTGTATGAGCATTTTATTTTTCCAATGTGGTTGTCTAATTTATTTCTTACTTATATTTCTATGTCCAAATAATCATGTCCTACAAGGTATTTGCTTTTGCTTTTCCTCAGGCACATTACCAACCAGAGATGACAGATACAGTATTAACTTATCAGTGACTATATCTTAGTGTCATGCGTGTAGTGGACTTTTATTTAAGAATTATATACCGCTTCTCGGCCTTTTGGCTAAGATCAACTGTGAAGAATTATATAAACACTTATTATTTTTACTCAAGTAGCTTTTTAAATGCTTTTATATAAAACTGTGCATCAGAAAACAGCATTAATCAGGCACTACTGTTTTATAATACGCTATCAAGATGTGGTCCTTATTAAGCAAGAAATTTTCAAAATAATTAATTTTAATCAAAATAATTTTTCTGGCAAAATTCTACATCTTGGCAACAAGACTTATCTTGCTAATTTTTAAAAGTATGTGCTTTGTAAAACAAAGGGATACTAAAGACAAATTAAGAAAATTATTTTAAATGAATCTACAGTTTTGGTACTCATCTTGCTGTCAAAAATGGGCATCTTTACATCCCCAAGTCACACTCAGGCAACTTCACCTCAAACTAAAAAAGAGCTTCTGTACTTATTATCTATTACAATTCTATACTAGGTTACTTGACTATACTAGAGATTCAACTACAGTGACAGTTTTAAAATTTTTAAATGGCCTAACGAAATGACACCTTTTAAACACTAGCCAAAAGTGCAACCAACTTTAACAACTAATGTAACACTCAAAACATACATACTTGGAGCGGACTTTTTTTTTTTTTTTTTTTTTTGAGACGGAGTCTCGCTCTGTCGCCCAGGCTGGAGTGCAGTGGCGCGATCTCGGCTCACTGCAAGCTCCGCCTCCCGGGTTCACGCCATTCTCCTGCCTCAGCCTCCCGAGTAGCTGGGACTACAGGCGCCCGCTACCACGCCCGGCTAATTTTTTGTATTTTTAGTAGAGACGGGGTTTCACCGTGTTAGCCAGGATGGTCTCGATCTCCTGACCTCGTGATCCGCCCGCCTCGGCCTCCCAAAGTGCTGGGATTACAGGCGTGAGCCACCGCGCCCGGCTGGAGTGGACTTTTTAATAAAATAATTGAAGTTCTAGTACTGAATTATAATGTACTAATAGGCTTTTCTAAAATAAAGCAAATGAGATAATATTTAAAGGTCCCCTTTAGTCTATGTTTTGAATATGAATTCATTAGCTGCCTAAAAATAACAGTATGTATCCATCTGTCATATTTTTGATATTTGCTTAACTCAGGTTTATACTTTTGCATCTCCAACTCTATAAAATGACTGAGGACTTTTAGTATATCTGAAATGAAGATAGTATAATCAAGTAGTAAAGAAGGTAATCATTTTTGTCAATTATTCAAAGGTTGAATTTAACACAAAACTATTGGCCGGGTGCAGTGGCTCACGCCTGTAATCCCAGCACTTTGGGAGGCCAAGGCGGGCGGATCACAAGGTCAGGAGATCAAGACCATCCTGGCCAACATGGTGAAACCCTGTCTCTACTAAAAATATAAAAAATTAGCCAGGTGTGGTGGCGGGTGCCGCTAGTCCCAGCTACTCGGCAGGCTGAGGCAGGAGAACGGCATGAACCTGGAAGGCGGAGCTTGCAGTGAGCTGAGATGGCGCCACTGCACTCCAGCCTGGGTGACAGAGCGAGACTCCATCTCAAAAACAAAACAAAACAAAACACAAAACTATGTTTAATACTTAAGATTTTCATTTTAATGTGAAAATATAATTTGAGTATTGAAAGCAATTATGTTGCCAGACTTTCTAGAACATTAAACTCAGTATTCCCTTACCCTGTACCTAGTACAAGGTACTTTTACCTAGGCTCCCCAAGGCACTGCAACAAATTCACAGGTTTCCAAGGAATATTTTAAATCGTTAAGAAAAACAGTGATATGTGTCAGATACCTTACGAACTACTACTAAGTTACATGGGGCACTTGAAAAATATTGAAACGTATCAACTGAGAAAGTTTGGGAACTTTGGCAATATTTAATTTTAAAGTAGATTTTTAAAATAACCTCTTTTTTTTTGAAATGAAGCACGTTTGTCATATTAACCTGAGATAATATTTAATTTGTCAACCTCTGAACTTCAATTAAAAAGTAATTTACCAATCTAAATGCAGGGGAAAAAAACCCACTTCTGAACACAAATTAAATTCTAAAATATATTCATTATGGCATCCACAGTACAGTACTAAGATTAAAAGAATGAAAATATATCCTGCCTCTCTGCCTACAGGACCCATTAGAGCAGTTACTCAAACAGAGAATAGTTTTGTAATTATTCTCCCCCTTTATTTAATCTTTTCTTAATGACAGGCCTTTCCCAATTACATGTTCTGTTCATTAGCCAAGTGACCCCATATTTCCCTGACACATCTCAATATAAATTAGTTCCATCCAGGGTGCTATTTCCACCTCAGAACTAAGATAGGAATTACTTGTATTTCCTTTGTCATGAAAGTCACAAAATCCTTAAGTTGGAAGGACTTTAGGATAAGTGGATCTGTAAATAGAATGTTGAAAGAAGAGAGAGGAAAACAATTTCTAGAGGACAGAAAGCCCTGGTTCTGAGGGAGACAGAAGAAACTGACCTCTAGGCCAAGCTCTGTTTCTACCATTAATGACCACAGGCAATTCAACTTGGATAACTTTCTTCATTTGTAAAACAAAAGGACTACAGTAAAATTTAGATGTGTTTCACAGCATCACTGAAGATCCAGTTAGAAATAGATTCTCAAGAGTACCCTGGAGATTCTATTCTAGCTCAGTAATTTGTAGTTGAATATCACAATCTGTGCCAGTGATTCTGGTAGACAGCCAGATTTCGGAACTGTGACAGACACTTTGAGTTGACTCACCCAAGTCAGTGCTAACTCCCTTTTTTCTTGTTCGCCTCTACTATGGATGCTAAAAAAAAGATTCAATATTCATTTTCCAGCCTTCCCTGAAGCTAGGAATGGTCTTTTAAACAGCTATGGCAAATGATCTGTAAAATGAAGTCTGTCAATGCCACTAACCAGTCCCCTTTCCTCTCCCTTCTTGGTGCTTTTAATTCTGACTTAATGTCTATAGGTACAGAAGTATCTTGTTTCTATAACCTACATGCTGCAGGTGGCAGAGTGGAAAGAGAAAAAAGGATACCAAGAACAGCGGGATCCACTGCATCCACCTAGACTTGTGATGTGAGGAAAATACCCCCTTTTTGTTTAAACTACTATTAGCTGCTTGTATCTGAAAGCATTTCTAAACGACATAGCAATGAAAGAGTAGATGATCTCAAATGTACAGCTTGGGTCTAATATTAAAGTTCTAATTTTAAATAATCTCATTGTCCAGAGAAGGATATCTTTCCACAGCATCTTTGACACATGGCTATCCAGATAATGATACACAATCTAAAGGCATCATTCCAAAAGTTACCACAGCTTTACCAATTCCCATTTTTTACATGCATTTTCATTCGGTTCAAAAGCAGATTCTGTTAAATTCAAGTCACAAATTGAATTAAAATGAATATATCCTAGGGAAAGGAAACACTGCACTTAAAAAGCCACATTGGGCCAGGCACAGTAGCTCGCGTGTTCGAGACCAGCTTGGGCAACATGGCAAAACCCCATCTCTACAAAATTAGCTGGGTGTGGTGGCGTATGCCTGGTAGTCCCAGCTACTTGTGGGGCTGAGATGGGAGGATCGCTTGAGCCCAGGAGGTCAAGGCTGCCGTGAGCTGAGATCATGCCCAGCCTGGGTGATAAAGTGAGACCCTGTGTCAAAAAAAAAAAAAAAGGGCAAGCCACGTCTTACATACATAATTTTTAAATGAAAAAATTTAACAACACCTTGGTTTAGGAAGGTCAGAAGGGCTGAATACCAGGGTATTCTTCATGCATCTTCCTTTCCCTTCCCCATCTTTCAGCCTAACTTACTAATCTGAAAATGAGAAACACTGTTTACGTGCAGGAAAGATGTCTTCTGCAAAAGTCACTAATAGGGGCTAACTTGGGGAAACCAGTGCACTGCTGCAAACCATCCTTTTTTCTAAGTAAGTGGGGCTCTGGCTAAAAAAACAACTGTCCCAAGGTTGAACTAGTATAAAAGAGAAAATAGTGGCCAACATATCCTCAAAACAGACCCTTCCATTTTGCCCTGTATCTAATTCACATTAAAGACAACTATTGCAGATGTATAAAATATATCAATAAATGTTGACTGATCATGGCAAGGAACCAAGCTAGACAAGGCAGATGGTTGGGTGGCTAATTGGGAATGGATGAGAAGAAAGGGTTCAAAGAGGTGCTACAAAAAGCCACAATAAATTAGCAAACTTCCAGTTTTTCTATTAGGCAATATCACCTCTAACCTTCATGTAAATAATAACTTAATTGGGAATGCACTGATTTTCAAACATGTTTTGGTGAACTTTTCATTCAACCTACCAGTAATGGTTGGGTTGTTGTTCGCTACAGCCAGGGATCCTGTGTGGTTTCGGATGAGATTGTCTTGAGTCGATGGAAGGCCTGGAGATGACCACGTTAGAGTACTGTATCCTGAAAGACTTTGCTGCTGGTGGTGCTGTTGTGATGGTAGAGGTGGAAGTGGCGATGGATGGCTGATAGCTGTATTTTGACCAGAGAATGAATTATCTTTAACTGGCCTAACAGTCGGAGCATTCTGTGAGGTAAACATTTGCCCATATGTATCACCAGCAGGCAGAGAGGGATATGAAACACTAGGATACGCGGCATTAGAAACAGTTGACATAGCATAATGACCACAAGTAGAGGGAAATCCCTGAGACGCAACAGAAGAGCTGGCAGAGTACATGGCTGGACTATTGTAGTGATTCACAAAAGAGGAGTATGGTTGGGAGGCACTCGTATGCAAATGGGATGCTGACGATGCAGCACCTTGGAAAGATCCTAGAGTGGATCCCACAATATGAGGGGCAGGAGGACCCCTGCTGTACAACTGCTGTGCTCCTGGTTGCTGGTTCACTGTGTTAGGAGTCACATTTTGTGTTGGTACTGTATAGAGAGCAGAGTAGTAATCACCACACTGGGTATCCAATGGCAATGAGGTCATTTTCCCAGGTCCTTGAGAGTAATGTCCTGAGGGAGCAATATAGTTTTGATGATGCAATCCATATCCAGATGGAACCTGCATTTGATTCTGGGCTGGACCTGAAAAAGCAAGTATTTACAGGTATTTGTAAAGAGATAACTAATTTTTAAAAATAGCCCCCATTTAAATATTGAAGCAATTAACTTTCTTTTCCATAATCCCAACTTATTACAAAAGGTATACACTGTTATAGACCCATTATGGTAGCCTGCCTCCAACATGGCCCCCAATGATCCCCACCTCCTGTTATTCACACCCTTGTAGTCCTCCCTCACAATGTACCAGGACTGGTCTGTATGAACAGTAGCATACGGCAAAGGTGATGATATGTCACTTCCATGTTAGCCCAGTCTTGAGCTCTGGCTCTCTTTCTCTCAGATACCCCAGTCTGAAAGAAGCTAACCTGCCAAGCCGTGAACAGCCCTATGAAGAAGCCCATGCAAGGAGGAACTTAACTCTCTGGCCAACAGCCAAAGAGAAACTAAGATCTGCCAACAACCACGACTGAGCTTTCAGGCAGATCCTCCAAACTCAGTAGAATCTTGAGATAACTATAGCCCAGCCAACAGGTTATCTCATGAGAGACCCTGAGCCAGAACCACCTAGCTAGGCTGCTCCCAAGTTTATCTTCCTGAGAAACTGTGAAATAAATAGTTGTTGTTTTACAAGTTGTTAAGCTTAGGGGGTATTTTGTTATGCAGCTATCAGTAACTAATATACCCATCCTGGAAGAAGTTTAAACTTTGAGACAGGGTCTCGCTCTGACCCCAGGCTCTATAGAGTGTGATGGCTATAGAGCGCGATGGCATGATCATGGTTCACTACAGCCTTGTTCTCCTGGGCTCAAGCAATCTTCTCACCTCAGCCTCCCGAGCAGCTGGGACCACAGGCGTGCACCATGGTGACCAGCTAATTTTTACTTATTTATTTTTTACAGAGACAGGCTCTCACTGTGTTGCCCAGGCTGGTCTCCCATACACCACGGCCCAGCCAATGTTTCTAAATTTATTTTCTTGTAGAGACAGGGTCTCACTGTGTGCCCAGGCTGGTCTTAAACTCCTAGAGTCAAGTGACTCTCCTCCCTCAACCTCCCAAAATGCTGGGATTATAGGCATGAGCCACTGCACACAGCTAAAACTTTTTTCTCAGTTTTTATTTTTCCTAACTAGAAAAGTAACAATATACCCACTGTAGAAAAAATTCAAACAATAAAGAGTATGAATTAAAAATCTCTGCCTAGTAGCTTATATCCTATTTCCCAGATATAGTTACAGTTAATGCTTATGCATCCTCTGTATATCCATGTATCTATGTAATGCATATGTAAGCATGTATATAATTTACTTGATTTTTTAAACACACAAAAAGGATATTACAGTTCCGCAACTTGCTTTTACTTAATATATGCTGAATATCCTTAAGTATTAGCATATATAAATCCTCATTATTCTTTTAAAAATTTACATATAGTACTTTATTGTAGAGATATAACATTATTCACCAAATCTCCATTGATGAATATCTTGGGGTTGAACTAATCTATATTTATGAGGTCAACTTTTATGATGAAGCTATAAGACAAATTTCTAGAAGTCAAACTGGAAGTTCAAAAGGTTTATGTTTTTAAAATTGACATTATTGGCAAATATCTCTTAAAAGGTCTATCAATTTATACCTCCCATCAATAATGCTTCATATTGCCTCATTGTCCCAATACTGACTATATATTAATCTCTGCCAATCTGAAAAGTGAGAAACACTTTAGTTTACAGTAGTTAACTTTGAATGATGCTGAGACTCTCATTTGGGTGTCTTTCTCTGCTGTTTGCTTTTTCTGTAGCATTGCGATTTCCTTAATGATTTCTAGCTGTTCTCACACAGTAGAAAATTAGCCTAATGTTATGTGCTGTAAGTATTTCCCCCAGGTTACTGTTATGTTTTCACTTTGTTCATGGTATCTTTTGCTATAGTTTCTTGATTATGTAGTAAAATTCTTTTTTTATGCTTGACAGATTTTTAAATCATACTTAGTAGAGGTTTCTTCATTTCAAGATTATAAAACTATAAAACCATGTTTTACTCTAGTGTTTTATACTTTCATCTTTATATATCTTTGATAAGTATAGCATATATTTATTTTATTAATACCAACAAAACATTAATCCTAATATTAGTCTTATTAATATTAATATATTAATATATTACATTATATGCCATTCACTGTTCTAAATGCTTTACATATATTAACTTCTTTAATCCTCTAAAGTAAATAGTATTATTATACCCATTTATCAATAAGTGAGCCACAAAAGTCAAGATGTTTAACACAGTTACATGCTTAGGAACTAAATGGGCCGGAATTTGAATCAGGCAATCTGGCTCAAGTTTATGCTCTTAACCAATGATCTGCTGTCCTTTGCTACAAATGGCCAATTGTCCCAAAAACAGAATTCTAGTTTTAGTTCCAATTACTTTTCTTTGGGTTTTGGGCAAATCTTAATTATCTTGGAATCTAATTTTTCTGTCTTGTGGAAGGAAACAGGTATCTGTGCCATATCTCAAATCAAAGGATAATTTAATAGAAAATTGACAAGATGTTTTAGCTCCACTGACACAAGTACACAAAGGAAGTACCACTACACTCCTTGCCATAATAATGTATTAAAATACTTGTTTATAAAAGAGATAAGAATAAAGCATACATTTTCTAATTGTTTTCAATTTGTACTAAGTAATGTAATGGAATCTTCATTTCTGGTCATGTAATATATATTCTACGGCCAGCATAAAAATAACTTACACAGTCAAGCTGTAAGGGAAAAATATCATCTACATTCCTCCTATAATTCCAAGAAGTATACAGAAAACCAAAATACTGATAACGCTATTTTACTAGGTGTATAATTTACTTTTCTTAGATTATTTTAGATGGTAATAATTCATCTGAAAGAATTTATTTACTTAAGGAAATAAAGTCTGTTAGGATCTTTCATTAACACGACAAAAGTAAAATGTTGTCCTCCTTTCTCCTATTTAAATATATTAAAAGATGGATCTGCTACCTTTCACTGTAGTGTCAGAAAACTCTACACTAGTAGAATTTATCAATGAAGAGCCAAGTCAGATTTAGAGAAATCTGTTCAAATATCTACCCACTTAGTGACTGATCTGGCATATCCATGCTACATGATCTGAAACGAGAAATAATCATTATGTCCCAACTATTCAAATGTCATTCTTTTAAAAATAACAGGAATGTCCTAGCTGCTGAAATTTATCAGAAGTGAGTTGCCCACCAGAATAAGTCTATTTACTTTCTAGCCTATCAAAGAAAGGTACTTACTCCAGGAAAACATGGGGGGTGGGAATATCTAATATATCTAATCATATGTGGATGCTTACTATTTCATACTTTATATCAAGACCTAAATGTTCCCAATGTATAAAAAAGTATCTGAAAGTAATTAAAGTTAATAAAGACAAATGTAAATCATTTTTAACATGTATTCAGTATTTTTAAATTACTGAGATATTTTGCTTTTTTGTACTATTTCTTCAAAAATCATTATGTATTTTACACTTATAGCACTTCTCAATCTGATCAACCATATGTCAAGTACTCAACAGCCATGTACAGCTAGTGGCCACCACACTGGATGGTGAAAGTCTACAGCATATGTCTATGATTCCAGTTGTTTCTGCCTCTCATGACAGATTAAATTTTCTGCCCTCAGTGTTTTCCCCCTATTCTTTTCTCGTGTACCTGCTTCAGTTTTCTTCCACATTTATTTAAGCTCTATGGCCTCCAAATATTGTATTCCAAGAAAGAACTATTTTTTCGAAGAGTAGAGCAACACAGTGCATTATGTACACATATACATATATTATGTTTAACTTATCTGAATAAAAAACTCTTGTAGTAATTATTCATCTGTGATCTTTCTTGGGATTCAAAATGATTCTGCAGCATGTATGAAAAGACTGCTGGTATTTTAATACTTCTAAAATAGACATAAAAGTTGTGGAGGAAAAAAATTTGTTACATATATAGTAAAATTTCTGAAAAATAACTTCAGAAGTACTTTTCTTATCACAAATGTGATACAGTCATTGTAAAAAAAAAAAATACAGAAAGTGATCAAATAAAAATCATCTTAATCTTCCCGAGATAACCTGCTAACATTCTGATGTATATCCACCCAGTATTTTCTTTTTGCATATATATGTATAATTTAGTTAAGCAAAAGTGGGATTATAATGTATCTTTTAAATGATTCCTTCATTTAGCATGATTTGAATATCTTTCCATCATTATTTTTAATGTCTGAATAGTATTCCATTACATGAATTTACCATATTTTAATCAATTTTCTATCTGCCATTTAGGTTTTCATTTTTTTAACATAAACCACCTAATAAATAGATCTGTAGGTAATTTTTGTGTTCATTCACTTTACTAAAAATAACTTCCTACCAGTTGCAATTGTTGGGTCAAGTCTCTAGTTGGCAGCTTAACTGTGCAGAAGTGGGAGATGTCAGGATGCCCAGCAATAAGGGAGGTAGAGATCAGAATCAAAGTGGGCCCAGAAGCCAAATTTGGCAGAGACTGCAAAGTCTTTATAAATCTATTCCAAAAATGAAAAGAAAATATATTCCAAAAATTGGGGGAAAATGTTACCAGTAAATGAACAGACAAGGGATATCGAGAGAAATGAAAACTATTTAAAAAATATTCAAAATAAAACAAATAAATATGCTAAATGGTCTCTACAGTATGGCAGAAGACTTAATGAACCTTGATTAAGTTGACCAACCTTGAAGATTGGTTAAGAAAATGATCTAAGAAACATAGAGAAAAAAAAAAGGCTGAAGAAAAATGAACAAAATTCGAGAGACCTGTGGGACAACACATAGCAGTCTAACACTTGTAATAATCAGTAAAGCATGTAGTGGGCTAAAGAGTGGCCCGCTAAAAGATTATGTACACATCCTAATCCCCCCAATCCTGTGAAAATTACATGGAAAAGTGTGATTATTGCCTTAAATGACAAAAGACATGCTTAGGTTAAAGATCTGGGGAAGAGGAGCCTCTCTTGGATTATTTGAGTGGGTTCTAAATGCAATCACATGTATCTTTATAAAATATACATACAGAAGAAAAGACATACACATAAACAGAGAGAAGGCAATGTGAAGTTGGAGCACAGAGTGATGTAGCCACAAGCCAAGGAATGCCAACAGTGAGACAAGTAGGAAGAGTCAATGAACATATTACTCCCCTATGAGCCTACAGAAGGAGCATGACTGCTATGGTTTAAATGTTTGCTCCTCCAAAACTCATCTTGAAATTTCATTGCCATTGTAACGGTATTAAGAGGCTGTGCCCTTATGAATGCATTAATGCCACTATCACAGAAGTGAGATTGATATAAAAGGGCAAGTTTGGTCCCCTTTTCTCTGCCCTCACCTTTGCCCTTCTGCCACGTGATGTTTTCTGCCATGTTATGACACAGCAAGAAGGCCCTAGCCAGGTGCTGGCACCTGATCTTGGATTTCCCAGCCTCCAGAATTGTGAGAAGTAAATTTCTGTTCATTATAAACTAGACAGTCTCAGGCATTCTGTCATAGTAGCACAAAATGGACTAAGAAGTAGACCTGCCAACACCTTAATTTCAGACTTCTAGACTTCATAACTGCAGAAAAATACATTTATGTTGTTTTAAGCTACCTACTTTGTGGCCATTTGTTTCAGCAGTCCTAAGACATTAATAAAGATATAGAACAGAAATTCTCAAAGTGTAGTATACAAAACTCCAGCAGTGCCAGAAACTCTTTGGGGAAAATCCATGAGTAAAAACTATTTTCATAACAGTACTAAGATGATATTTGCCTTTTTCACTGTGTTGACAATTATACTAATGATACAAAAGCAATGATGGCTGCAATGTGAACCCTGGGGCACAAACTGAAGCAATGGCACCAAGCAATACTAGCAGTTACTATATTCTTCACCACCATGCACTCACACATAATTTTATTAGATTAAAAATGATGGTCTCTGTGAAACATAAAGCACTTTTATTGCACACTGAAGTATAAATGTTATCTTCAGGAAAAGTATTTGTTTAACTTAGCTGTGAGCTCTACCATTGAACAAAACTTCAGCAAATAGAAAACAACAATATATTGAAAGTAAAATACATTATGACCAAATGGGGTTCATATTAGGAATACAAGGCTGACTGACCATTTGAAATACATTCAATGTGATTCAACATATTAACAGACTTAAGAAAAAGCCACATAATCACATCAATAGATACAGAAAATGCATTAGATAAAACTTGGCATCCATTCATGATAAAAACTCTCAATAAACTAGGAAGAGAAAGAAACTTTCTTAACCTGATAAGGACTATCTACTAAAAACCTATAGCAAACCATACTTAATGGTAAGGGACAGACAGACTGCTTTCGTCCTAACATTGATTACATGGAAGGCAAGATGTCCTCTCTCATCATTCCTATTCAATAATGTACAAGATGTAACAGCCCCTTCAGTGAGGCAAGAAAAATAAATAAATAGTAGATAGACTGGAAAGGAGTAAAAAAAAAAAAAAAAAAACAAAAAAAACCTGTCTTTATTTGCAGAATGACATGACTAAGTAGAAAATCCCAAAAAAATCTTCCAAAAAATGCCTGGAATTAATAAGTGAGTTTATCAAGGTCATAGAATATAAGGTCAATATACAAGAATCAATTATGTCTCTAAAGATCAGTAGTAAACAAGGGGAATTAAGATTTTAAAAAACAGTATCATTTATAATAGCACAAAAAGAAGTACTTAGATGTAAATCTAATGAAATATGTTCAGAACCTATATAAAGAAAACTACAAAACGCTGATGAAAAGAAGCAAGGATTTAAAGAAATGGAATGACATACTGTGTTCATGGATTAGAAGACTTGATATTATGATGTAACTTATCTCAATTTTGATCTTTAGATTCAATGCAATCATAATAAACAACACCAGCAGGTTTTTTTTGTAGATATCAACAAGCGGATTCTAAAATTTCTATAGTAATACAAAGTTACTAAAAACAAAGAAAAACTGAAAAGGAACAAAGTTGGAAGACTCACATTACCCAATTTTAAGGCTTACTTTATAGGTTACAACAATTTAAGAAGTGTGGTATTGGTGAAAGGACAGATACACAGAATGCAACAGTCTAGAAACAGACCCATAAAAATACAGTCAACTGATTTTTGACAAAGGTGCCAAGGCAATGCAATTGAGGAAAGATAGTTCTTTCAACAAATGGTGCTGGAATAACTAGATATCTACATGTGAAAAAAAGAAAAGAACCTCAACATATACCTCTGGTCTTAAACAAAAATTAAGTCAAAATGAATCACAGGCCGGGTGTGGTGGCTCATGCCTGTAATCCCAGCATTTTGGGAGGCCTAGGTGGGCGGATTACCTGAGGTCAGGGGTTGGAGACCAGCCTAGCCAACATGGTGAAACCCCATCTCTACAAAATTAGCCGGGCATGGTGGTGCATGCCTGAAATCTCAGCTACTCGGGAGGGCTGAGGCAGGAGACTCGCTTGAACCTGGGAGGCGGAGCTTGGAGTAAGCCAAGATCGCACCACCACACACCAGCCTGGGCGACAAAAGTGAAACTCCATCCCAAAAAAAAAAAGAATCCTAAATCTCATTGTAAATTAAACACTTAAGAGAAAATATGGATTTTTGAAGGGAATCTGGGATTGACAATGAATTCTTACTACAGAGGCCAAAGGGGCAGCTCCCCTTGGCCCTCTGAAGGTGTGCTGAAAAATCAACTTGCAAAAGGCAGATTAACAGGATAAAAGACATACAAATTTATTTAACGTGTAGACCCAAAGATAGAGGAAACTGTCCATTTTTATCCTTAGGTTCAACAAAGTACGGACAGCCATGCAGAAGTATAATTGGATAAAAAGGCTATAATCTAATGTGAACAGACTGAATGGGGAAACCCAGGAAGGCCTATCTGTTTAGATTCTTCTTGGCCTGAGCACACATTCTTTCTTTCTGCTTATGGGGCAGGACCCTCTCTGGAATAGGGGTCTTATGACCTACATTCAAACAATGTAGGTGAGATAATTTCTTTAAGGCCAGTTTTTACACATAGGACAGAGGGAAAGTTAGAATAATATTTTTAGGTTTTGTGGCTTGCTTTGGGGAAAAAAGGTTCCAGTTTCTATGACCTGCCTTGGGGAAGAGGGAATCTGGTTTCTAAGGCTAGCCTCAGGGGAGAACGGGACTGAGAGACAGGCAGGCAACAGAAAGTCAGAGAAAAACTTTTGCTTCTGAGGCTACTTCTGAGGCCTTCATTTTGGAGTTTTGTTTTATTTTTCTTTCTTTTTTTTTTTTTGGAGACAGAATCTTGCTCTGTCACCCAGGCTGGAGTGCAGTGGTGCGATCTCAGCTCACCCCAATCTCCACCTGAGGGTTCAAGTGATTCTCCTGCCTTACTTTCCCTAGTAGTTGGGAATACAGGCACCCACCACCATACCTGGCTAATTTTTGCATGTTTAGTAGAGACAGGGTTTCATCATGTTGGCCAGGCTGGTCTTGAACTCCTGGGCTCAGGCAATCCTCCTGCCTCGGCCTCCCTAAGTACTGGGATTATAGGCGAGAGCTACTGCACCCAGCCTGAGGTTTCATTTTCTGAGCCTCAACATTACCTATGATACTCAAAGCATAGTCAGCAACATAAAATATTGAGAAACTTGACTTTACCAAAATGAAAAAAAAAGTTTGCTCTGTGAAAGGAGCTAAGGATTAAAGACAGATAAGACACAGTTGGCCAGGTGTGCCTGAGGTCAGGAGTTCGAGACCAGCCTGGGCAACATGGAGAAACCCTGTCTCTACTAAAAATACAAAAATTAAACGGGTGTGGTGGCGCATGCCTGTAATCCCAGCTATTTGGGAGGCTGAGGCAGGAGAATCACTTGAACCCAGGAGGTGGAGGTTGCAGTGAGCTGAGATCACGCCATTGCACTCCAGCCTGGGGGACAAGAGCGAAACTCCGTCTGTTGCGGGAAGTCAGGGATACCGAACGGCAGGACCTGCTGAAGCCGTGACAGAAGAATATAAATTGTGAAGATCTCATAGACATTTATCACTTCCGCAATCAATACTCTTAATTTCCTATGCCCTCTTAATCCTTTCATCTTCGTAAGCTGAGGATGTATGTCGCCTCAGGACCCTGTGATGACTGCGTTAACTGCACAAATTGTTTGTAGAGCATATGTGTTTAAACAATATGAAATCTGGGCACCTTAAGAACAGGATAACAGCGATTTTCAGGAACAAGGGAGATAACCTTAAAGTCTGGCTGCCTGTGGGCCAGGCAGGCAGAGCCATATTTCTCTTATTACCGAACACGGGTAAGAGAAATATCGCTGAATTCTTTCCCCAGTAAGGAATATTAATAATTAACAGCCATTCGGGGGGGGGGGGGGGGGGGCCTAAAATGGCCACCCTAGGAATGTCTGCCTTATGCAGTTGCAGATAAGGGATGAAACATGCCCTGGCCTCCAGCAGCACCCCCAGGCTTGCTAGGATTAGGAAATTCCAGCCTGGTGAATTCTAGTCAGACTGGTTCTCTGCTCTTGAACCATGTTAAGATGTTTATAAATGACAATGCATGCACAGCGGGACATGGAAGTTCATTAGTGATTCTAGTTTTGCCCTGACCTTGAGATCTCACCCTGATCTTCTGCCTTGTGATCTTTTGTTGCCCTTAAAGCATGGGATCTCTGTGACCCACATCCTATTAGTACACTCCCTCCCCTTTGAAAATTGCTAATAAAAACTTGCTGGTTTTAGGGTTCAGGGGGCATCACAGAACCTGCCGACATGTGATGTCTCCCCCAGATACCCAGCTTTAAAATTTCTCTCTTTTGTACTCTTTCCCTTTATTTCTCAGACCAGCTGACACTTAGGGAAACAGAAAAGAACCTACGTGAAATAACGTTGAATTATTGGAGGCGGGTTCCCCCGATATCTGTCTAAAAAAATAAAATAAAATAAAAATAAGACACAGTCATGAAAATGTTCAGGAAAATTAAAAGAATAACACAGAAAGAAAATGTTTGCAAATCAGATACTCAATAAAAAACTTGTATCCAGAATACACTAAGAACTCTTAAAACTCAACTAAAAAAATAGACAACCCAACCAAAAATTGGTAAAACATCTGAAAAGATAATCACCACAAAAGATGTAAGAATGTAAAATATACATGAGAAGATGCTCATCATTAGTTATTAGGAAAATACAAATTAAATTACAACAAGACACTATCAAAAACCGAAAATATCAAATGCTGGCAAAGATGTGGTGCAAGAGAAACATTCACTCATTGTTGGAGGGAATACATACTAGTATAGCCACCCTGAAAAATAATCTGGCAATTTGTTATAAACTTAAGTATATATTTACTATGTAACCCAACAGTCCCACTGTAGTTATTTACCTAAGTGAGCTGCAAACTTGCGTTCACACAGAAGCCAGTACATGAATGTTTATGGTAGCTTTTTTTATAACTACCAAACACTGGAAACAACCAAGATGTCTGATAACAGAGGAAGGGACAAATAATCATGGTATACACATACAACAGAATACTACTTAGCAATAACAAGGAACAGAATATCAATTTGTGCAGTAGCATGGATGAATGTAGCTAAGCAAAAGGAGCCAGACCCAAAAGGCTACATATTATATGGTTCCGTTTACATGACATTCAGAATAACAAGGATAGAGAACAGAGCAATGGCTGCCAGGGGCTGGTGAGAGGTACTGACTATAAGAACTTTTTTTTTTTTTCATGGTGATGGAACTGTTCCAGATGGTACTGCAGTGGCATAATAGATACATGATTACATATGTTTATCTAAACCTATACAGCTGTACTCTACAAAGAATGAAAGGAAATATACTATAGGTAAATTTTCTTTAAAAATCAACCAGGATATCAAGAAAACCTAGGCTAGAATACAGACTGTGACAGATCAGTCTAACTGTATTACAAATGTATGATAACCTAACTGAATGATGTTTAGGTAATACAGATACAGATAGACACAAAAATAATTATAGATGGGTTAGCATATACATATACATACTCACATTTCATAGCTCTGTCGACTTTCAGAGCCTGAAGCAGTGACACACCCGTAGTAATAAGCATATCCAACACCCAGTTCTTGGTTTCTAAATATCATCCTCCAATAAAAGAAACCAGAGTCCCTTGGACATAGGGCTGATTTTGGTACTGGGATAAGGCAAGTACAAGATAGAGTAACTTGTAGTGTCAGAAAGTAAGGAAGTGGCCAAACAACAAAAAGATTGGGGGAAAAGGATACAGAAGCCAACTTGAAAGAGCTCTCAATGGCCACAGCTGCAATAATCTGAGCAACAAAAGTAAGTATCAATAGTATTGGCACTTTGGGAGTCAAGGTAGGAGGATTGCTTGAGGGCAGGAGGTTGAGACCAGCCTGGGCAACACAGCGAGACTCCATTTCTTTAAAAAAAAAAAAAAAAAATTAGCAAGGCAGATGACACCAGCTACTTGAGAGGATCGCTTGAGCCCAGAAGGTTAGGGATGCAGCAAGCCATGACTGTACCACTGCACTCCAGCCTAGGCAATGGAGCAAGACCCTGTCTCCCTCTCTATATACAGCATTGGATTATAGCCCAAATAATAAAATAAATATTTGTGAGTTTATAATAACATACACAAATGATTGAATAAATTTTAAAATGGGATTAAATGGGCAAATCTCCCTTATAAGAAACAGGGAAAGAGGAAATTACCATTAGAAATCCACAGTAGCTGGTGCTGTGGCAAATATTTGTAATCCCAGCTACTGGGAAGGCTGAAGTGAGAGGATCCCTTAAGCCCATGAGTTCTGGGCTGTAATGTGTTATGCTGATTGGGTGTCTACACTAAGTTTGACATCAATATGGTGACCTTCCAGGAGCAGGGGACCACCAGGTTACCTAAGGAGAGGTGAACTGGCAGAAATAGGAAATTAAGGAAATCAAAATTCCCATGCTAATCAGTAGTGGGACTACAACTGTGAATAGCCAGTGTACTCCAGCCTGAGCAAGAGGAAGACTCTGGCTCTTTAAAAAAAAAAAAAAAAAAAAGAATTGCACAGTAGTAATTGATGCAGGTGAGAGTAAGCAAAACTCATGAGTGACATGCTAAAATTAGTGAGTAAATTTTTTTTTTTTTTTTTTTGAGATGAGTCTCACTCTGTCACCCAGGTTGGAGTGCAGTGGCGTGATCTTGGCTCACTGCAACCTCCACCCCCTGGGTTCAAGCAATTCTCCTGCCTCAGCCTCCCAAGTAGCTGGGATTACAGGTGCCTGCCACTGCGTCCAGCTAATTTTTGTATTTTTAGTAGAGATGGGGTTTCACCATCCTGGCCAGGCTGGTCTTGAACTCCTGAACTCATCATCCACCCGCCTCTGCCTCCCAAAGTATTGGGATTATAGGTGTGAGCCACCGCGCCTGGCTGTGAGTGAAATTTTGAGAAGAAAGAGAATGGTAGAATAACTTCAAAGTATCTCCCAAAGAATATTTCTTAATTACTGTGGTGATTTGAACATAAGCCCACAAATCATTTGGTATACCTCACTGCAGCAGGTAGAGTTTAATTCCCTTTTTTCCCTACATTTTTAAGAGACAGGGTCTTGCTCTGTCACCCAGTCTGGACTACAAAGGTATGATCATAGTTCACTGTAACCTTGAAGCCCTGGGCTCAAGTGAACCTCCCATCTCAGCCTCCAGAGTAGCTGGGACTACAGGTGAGTGCAACCACACCCTGGTAATAATTTTACTTTGTTTGTAGAAACAAGGTCTATGTTAGCCAGGCTGGTCTCGAACTCCTGGCCTCAAGTAATCTTCCTGCTTCGGCCTCCCAAAGTGCTGAGATTACAGGTGTGAGCCACTGCATCCAGCTTCTCTTTCTTTTCAAAGTAGGCTGGAGTTAAGTGAATCACTCCTAATAAACAGACCATGAAAAGGAAAAAATAACCTCACAGAGGAAGAACCTCGTAGACATCCCTCTATTATGGACTCAATGTTTATGTCCCTCCAAAACTATGCTGAGGCCCAATGTGATGGTGTTAGGAGGTGGGGCCTTTGGGAGGTAATCAGGTTTACATTAGGTCATGAAGGCAGGACCACCATGAGAGAAGGAGTGCCCTTATAAAAAGAAGAGAGAGATCTCTCTACGTGCACATACCAAGAAAAGGCCATGTGAGCACACAGTGACAAGGTGGATAGAGGGCCCTCATTAGAATATGACCATGCTGACACTCTCTCAAACTTCCAGCCTCCAGAACTGTTGTGAAAATAAATGTCTGGGCGTAGTGGCACACACCTGTACTCCCAGCAATTTGGGAGGCCGAGGCGGGCAGATTGCTTGGGTCCAGGAGTTCAAGACTAGCTTGGGCAACATGGTGAAATCCCGTCTCTACAAAAAAAAAAAAAAAAGAAAAATTAGCCAGGCATGGTGGCACGTGCCTGTAGTCCCAGCTACTTGGGAGGCTGAGGTGGGAGGATTGCTTGAGCCTGGGAGGTCAAGGCTTCAGTGAACCATGATTGAGCCACTATACTCCAACCCAGGTGACAGTGAGACACTGCCTCAAAGAAGAAAAGAAATGTCTATTGTTTAAGCCTCAGTCAATGATGTTTCAATATAGCAACCTAGCTAAGACAACCCTCTTAACCAAGTGCCCAAGGTTAACATGATCAGTAATAAAACAAGCTGGTATCACGTAAACCCTGAAATGACTCAATAAGAAGCATACTTCACCTGTGTGGTATTCTTACGAAAAATTCATACACACAATCTAATCATGAGAAAGCATCAGCAAACTCAAAGTGAGGAACTGTCTACAAAATACCCAATCAGTACTCTTCAAAAACGAGGAAGTCATTGGAAAAAAAAAAAAAAGACAAGACTAAGAAACTGTCAGACTACAGGCTAATGAGACATGACAACTAAATGCAACATGATATCCTGAATTAAATCCTGAAACAGAAAAAAAGACATTCATGTAAAAACTGGTGAAACATCAGTAAAATTTGCAGTTAATTTTATTTCACCAATGTTAATTTCCTGGTTTTGATAAATGTACCAAAGTTTCGGAAGACAGGCTGGGCACAGTGCCTCATGCCTGTAATCCCAGCACTTTGGGAGGCTGAGGTGGGCAGGTCAGGAGTTCGAGAACAGCCTGACCAACATGGCGAAACCCCATCTCTACTGAAAATACAAAAACGCAAAAATTAGCCAGGCGTGGTGGCAAGTGCCTGTAGTCTCAGCTACTTGGGAGGCTGAGGCAGGAGAATCGCTTGAACCTGGGAGGCTCAAAAAAAAAAAAGTTTCATAAGTTATTGTTAGAGGAAGCTGACTGAAGGGTACTGCACTTTCTGTATATCTTTGCAACACTTCTGTAAGTCTAAAATTATTGCAAAATAAAGTTTTTAATACATCAGTAGAAAAAGGTACTGGAAATGACCTATTAAATTGTATGACACACCAAACGTAGCCAGAGTGATTTTCCTAAAAAGCAGATCTGATATTGTTACTCCCTGGTTTGATGCCTTCTAATGGTTTACCTTGCCATAAAAAAAAAAATTCAAATTATTTAACATGACCAATAAAACATATGTCCATATCCTAATCTCTGAAACTTGTGAATATGTTAGATTACCTGGCAAAGGGGAATTAAGGTTGCACATGGTATTAAGAATGTTAATCAACTGACCTTAAAATAGATTCTTGATTACCCAGGTGAGACCAATATAATCACAAACATCCTTAAGAGCAGAAAAGCAGAGGTAGAAGAGAGTCAGAGGGAGATGTGACTACAGAAGAATTCTCAGACAGATGCAATGTTGCTGGCTTTGAACATGGAGAAAGTGGGCCATGGACCAAGGAATGTGGGCAGCATCCAGAAGCTAGCTGACAAAGGCAAGAAATTAATTCTCCCTTAGATTCTCTAGAAGGGAATGCAGCCCTGTAGATGCCTTGGTTTTAGCTCAGGTGGACTTCTAACCTATAGGTGATAAATTCATGTTGTTTGAAGCCACCAATTTGTGGTCATTTGTTACAGCAGTAAATAGAAAACAATGCAAAGACTCTCCATCATCTGACCTCTGCTTACCACTCCTGCTTTATCACTCACCACCTCTTCATACAATAATTTTCAAGAGGTATGCCTTAATATACTAGTATACTAGTAGTCTTCCACATGCCTCTGCCAACATTTGATCAATAAATAAAATTTAATTTTGCTACACTTAAGATGCTTACTGATATGGTGAAGTCAAATAGAATGCTGAGCTGGTGGGAAAAAAATACTGTTTGCCACAAAAAAGCAAAGAAGCCACAGTACAACATCAACTAAGATTGTATGCTTGAGTTTCACCTCAAGAGGCCCTAAAAGAGGTTCATCAGGGCAGAAGACAGTTTTACTTTAAGCTGTCTTTTAGAGGCTTCTGAAGGGGATCAAGTGAGTATGTGATACCTTTTTTGAAACTTTTTTTTTAATACAAGTGTTCAAAGTGTAATTCCTTTAAGAATGCCACCAAAAATTTTAGCACTAAAGTAGCCATGAGTATGAAAAGGCTGAGAATCACTGTTCTACACACATCCTTATCATGCTAAATTTTTTTCAAGCCATGCTTCTTCACCTCTCAATCTTCAGATAGGCTTTTCCCTGTATATGGAACCTTCCAAAATACCCTCTTCTGCTTCACCTGACCAATTCTTAACTTATTCTTCAGATCTCAGCTCAGCTCTTCTCTAGGAAAACATTCTCTAATCCTACAAGTGAATGCATGCCATTATATAATATTGCTTCCACAGTATTTTGGACCCTTATGACAGAACTTTTCACATGGAACTGTAATTGTCTAATTGTAAATTCTGCAAGTGAAAAAATTCAGTCTAGTTTGCTCTTAGCTCTATCCTATCCCCCAAAGCTTAGTGTAATGGCTGGCTGATGGAAACTATTACTGTATTTTTATAAAATGAAGCCTAGTAAATAATCATCAAGTATTTCTGTATCAGGCACTTATCACAATGTATCAATAAGGAATACTACATGCTACTTAAACACAAAGAACATGAAACTTTAAAAGCTTTCACTATGTAAAATAATTTATACCATAATACAAAAACAGGTCTTTTTTCTGCTTTGGCGTGTTACACTTTTTACCCTGTTCACGTATAAGAAAAGTGTTTTTAACAAAAAGAAATGAAAATCTATCGTATTTCATTATATCTAAGGTGTGTTTTGATACTGCCACTATTTATCTTCACAGGTGTATTAGGTTCCTGCTGCTACTATAACAAAGTACAACAAAGTCAGTGTTTACAACAACACAAATTTATTCTCTTAGAGTTCTGGAGGTCAGAGGTCCAAAATCAGTTTCACTGGGCTACAAAGTGTCAAGGGACAGGGCTGGTTCCCTTTGGACACTCTGAAGAGACAATCCGTTTCCTTGCCTTTTCCAGCTTCTAGTGGCCACTGGTATTCCTTGGCTTGTGGCCCCTTCCATCTCCAAAGCACATCACTCTAACTTCTGCTTCTGTCTTCACATTTCCTTCGCTGCTGGCTCTGACTTGTCCTGTGTCTCTCTAATAAGAACTGCTGTGATTGTATCAGGCCTACCAAGTTCCAGGAAAACCCCATCTCAAGATCCTTAACTTAATCACTGCTGCAAAGGTTTCAGGGATTAGGACATGGACATAGCTGGGGAACCCATTATTCAGCCTACCACATCAGGTATCAATGGCAGATTCTCACACAACTATATTATGATTTCACTTTATGGAAAGCAAGTTTAGAATTCCACTGATTCTAAAATGCACCCCAATTTCAGAGGTAAAAAATGTAAAAAAAAAAAAAAAAAGCATCTTAGAATAAATTAATTTGATTATTGCACTCCCCAAATTGCCCAATACAATGCCTTACATAAGCATCAAATAATCACTGAAAAACTAAAACAGGCTGGGTGCGGTGGCTCACACCTGTGATCCCAGCACTTTGGGAGGCTGAGGCAGGGGGATTGCTTGAGTCCAGGAGTTTGAGACCAGCCCAGGCAACATAGTAAGACTTCATCTCTACAAACATGAAATAAAAAATTACGCAGGTGTGGTGGTTTGTGCCTGTAGTCCCAGTAACTTGGGAGGCTGAGGTGCTAGGCTTGCTTCAGCCCAGGAGATTGAGGCCGCAGTGAGCCAAGATTGCACCACTGCACTCCAGCCTGGGTGACAGAGTGAGACCCTGTCTCAAAAAAATAAATAAAATAAAATAATAAAAATAACAGGCTGGGTGCCGTGGCTCACGCCTGTAATCCCAGCACTTTGGGAGGCTGAGACGGGCGGATCACGAGGTCAGATCGAGACCATCCTGGCTAACACAGTGAAACACCATCTCTACTAAAAATCCAAAAAAAAAAAAAAAAAATTAGCTGGGCGTGGTGGCGGGCGCCTGTTGTCCCAGCTGCTTGGGAGGCTGAGGCAGGAGAATGGTGTGAAGCTGGGAGGCGGAGCTTGCAGTGAGCCGAGATTGCACCACTGCACTCCAGTCTGGGCGACAGAACAAGACTCCGTCTCAAAAAAAAAAAAAAAAAAACAAAGAAAGAAAGAAAAAACTAAAAAAATGGCCAGACGTGCTTGTAATCCCAGCACTTTGGGAGGCTGAGGCAGCAGACTGCTTGAGTCCAGGAGTTCAAGACCAGCCTGGACAACAGAGTGAAACTCCATCTCTACAAAAATTACATAAAATTAGATAGGTGTAGTGGCGCACACCTGTAGTCCCAGCTACTCAAGAGGCTGAGGTGGGAGGATCACCTGACCCCAGGAGATCGAGGTTGCAGTGAGCAGTGATCGCTCCAGCTTGGGTGACAGAGTGAGACCCTGTGTCAAAACAAAAACAAACAAAACAAAAAAATTCAGTTTTTATATAATCTCTGAAAGAATTTTATATTCTTAGCTTCAAGTGAACTATGTCAAATAAAAGAGGGAAACAGATGATTCTGACACATTATCTACTCACTGGTACCAATCTGAATGAAGAAATAAAATATTTTTAACAAATGGTCTATAATATTTTCAATGGAGCTGCTCAGCTGGTCAGCCTGACTGATATATCATGTGCCAGCAAGATACAGCCTATGATTTTCTATAAGCATGTATGCCCTCCTTAGCAGGACTAAATTATCACAAGATCTACCCCCAGGACATATCTGTCTCAGTAGCATAACCTCCTTTCAGACACCAGATTCTCACCAAAGGAAAACTGATTCTCTTGCTTTAAGAAAACCTAACATGAAAATTAAAATTTATAAAACAAATATTTCATGCAAGTCTAGTCCCTGTACCAAAAAAAAAAAAAAAAAAAAATCACAGGATCTCTTTAGGGCATATGAAATACGATTTGGTTTGAAAAATTCTCTACCTGACTTCCCTTTATTCTACTTTCACTTCCCTCTAATTCATTACTAACACCACCAGAGTACTTTTTAACATTCCTTACCACACAATCTTTAATGGCTCTTCTTTGATCCAAATGAAGTCTAAACTTCTTAGGACAATTTCTAGGAACTTCCATTAGCAGCCCCAACATAATTGTAAAAACTATTCTTTTTTTTTTTTTTTTTTGAGATGGAGTTTAGCTCTTGTTGCCCAGGCGATGGCATGATCACGGTTCACTGCAACCTCCACCTCCCGGGTTCCAACAATTCTCCAGCCACAGCCTCCCAAATAGCTGGGATTACATGCACTCGCCACTACACCCAGCTAGTTTTGTATTTTTAGTAGAGATGGGTTTTTACCACGTTGGCCAGGCTGGTCTCGAACTCCTGACCTCAGGTGATCCACCCACCTCAGCCTCCCAAAGTGCTGGGATTACAGGCATGAGCCACCACACCGGGCCCAAACCATTCTTTCATTACTCTCTCTCCCTTGTACCCCTGCACTGCTCAGAGTACGTTTTTTAAATTCCTTACCTTTGATTCATGCATTTTTACCTGACAATTCAAAATGTGTCCATCATTTTAGATATAGCTGAAGTTCTAACTTCCTCCCTTAAGATTCCCTATTACTTTAACCAAAAAGAATTGTTTCCTCTTCAAAACTCTGGGCACCCTTCTCACAGGCCTTATGAAGGAAACACATGTTCAGTGCTGACAGTCCTCTCCTCTTTTACTGAGGGGTACAGAACTCCTGGAGTGCAGAGAACATTCACATTTGTATGCCCAGAGTATCTAGCACAAAATGTTATGTAAAGAGGAGCTACATAAATATTTGCTAGGAATTGTAAATTAAATTTATAGGCCAGGCATGGTGGTTCATGCCTGTAATCCCAGCACTCTGGGAGGCAGAGGTTGGAGGGTCACTTGAGCCTAGGAGTTTGAGACCATCCCAGGCAACACAGTGAGATCTCGTCTCTAAAATAAAAGTTATATATAACTGTTAGGATTACATATGCATTGCATAAAATAAGGTTCAGGTGTTTAAGATCAAAATTGATGGTAAATGAGATAATCGGAGGGACAAAGTTCTTAAAAGAGAGGGAACAGAATTCTGTACCCAAATAATCTGAATTTGTCTCAGATAACACAAGAATAATATGCAGGAAGACTGACAGATTTGGTGGCAGAAGATTAATACTTTATCTTCAGATTGTCAGATTGCTTTCAATTTCTTAGTAAAATAAGTAAGGTCACCATTGGAAAGGGAGGCAGAGAGACAGGATACTGAGAATTTGAGGGAAAAGGGGAGCATGTGACACTGGGAATGGAGCAGGGAAATACCACAGGACTAACTGGTACTGAGAGCTCACTTAAGAGATATTACCATAAATATAAAGTTGGAGAAACTTCAAGGAAAATAAAGCATCAACATTGGATTATTCTAATATTACAATACAGCCATTTTATAGGGAAAAAAACATTTGACATAAAAAGGTTACCAAACCTAGTAAAAATGTGCAAAATTGATAAATGAGTAATATAAACATACAGGAAAACACAAAAATAAAGCAAGTTACCTGAATAAGATTGTAACAGTCATGATTTCCACCATACTACAATTATTGTTTAAAAAGAAAAAAATGAAGAGAGAAAACAAAAACCACATCTCTAATTTGACTACTCCTGAGATTTCCATAATAGCATGATCATTCCCCCTCCCTGAGACACATTTTAATATTAAAAATAGTTGTTTCATTAATATTTTCCTGAATTGAATTCCAACTTTTTTTTTCAGTCAGATCAAAGTCAGATTTCAGTTTCCATTATCTGAACACAAACATCAAGGTCAGCAAAGTACAAGTTCCTTTATCCTACTAAGATAAATTCATACTAACTTTGAGGTAGAATCAGATCGAAGAATGTAATCACTGAATTCATTCATCACTCAATTACAAAGAAATAGGCCAATATTCAGTCAGTATGCACCCAGGTATTCATTTTAACAATTATCTTTGTTAAAATGTTAAAATAGCTCTGAATCAGTTGGTAATGAGTCATAGCCATGGTCCTATTCCCCTGCTTTACCCCACCATGCTAGCCCAAACCTTCTCATAATCCGCAGCTGAAGGAGTAATGCCTGGCACAGCTGAAAGCTTATAGGATCCTGCTCTGGTATGAAGGATGGTATCCATTTAGTGGTCAGTATACACAGTACTGATTACTGAATATTTTAATATACTCTCCCTGCCAATAAGGTATCACTAACAATGCCAAAATACAGATTTTTAATGGGCATAAAAAATGTGCATGCTTGCACACCCACACACCCCTAAGGCAATAGGCAATTACAAACCTTGGTGATTTCAAAAATGAGGAGTCTCAGATTACATCTGGATATCCTAGGTTATCATAATGCAAGGATAACAGTTATAGAGCTTCTTCCCAAGCTCTGAGAGAAATGTTTTCTTGTATTCTTTCTCTCCTACATTCCATAAACTGCAAATATACCTGAGGATGAAGGTAACTGTTCCAGTCACCGCTGGCGGACAGAGCCTACAGACACAGGCTATGTAAACAACTGGATTAAATCTCACTGCATTAAGTATAGATTATTCCTGCTACAACATCAATTATCCTTCTTGGATACCACGACAATGAGTGCTATGAGTGAGGGGCCAAAAGACAACCAAGGCCACACATGGTGGCTCACGCTGTAATCCCAGCACTCTGGGAGGCCAAGGTAGGAGAATCACTTGAGCCTGGGCAACATGGTGAAACCCCATCTCTACAAAAAATACAAAAATTAGCTGGGCATAGTGGCATGCCCCTGTAGTCCTAGCTACTCAGGAGGCTGAAGTGGGAGAATCACCTTAACCCGGGGAGGTCAAGACTGCAGTGAGCTGTGATCATATCACTGCACTCCAGCCTGGGTGACAAAGTGAGGCCCTGTCTCAAAATACAGAAAGAAAAGAAAATCAATATTGGTTCAGAATCTACTACATGCCAGATACCTTGCTTTTCTACATATAATCTGATATGCTTCTCAAACAATTCTGTGAAGTATCACTATCATCTTTTATATACAAATAAACAGGGCCATGAAAGCCCACTAATTCATACGAATTCAAATCGTTGGTAAGGAGCAAAGAAGCCAGGCATTGCTGGTTCCAAAGCCAGGCTTATACCTCATTTCACAATATCCATTAATCAGAAATCCTAAGGAAAACAAGTTAAGACTTGGCCACTGGCTAGGCAAGACATGATTTTACCACTCCCTCTCGCTACTTCATCCTGCTTTTCCTCAGTTCCTGTTACAAATGACTTCTGGCACACAATTTTAGAAAACTTAAAACCCATTAAACTTACCTTTCCATAAGCAAACTAGCTAAAATAGATGGCCTATTACCAGAAACCTTCCAAGAATGCATTTGCGGACATAAGGGATGGAGGACTGGAAAGCAGAAGAAAATAAAGAGAAGACTAAAATAGTGATTGAGCCTTAAATACAAAAAAGGGGAGAGGGAGCTGGCACACAGACTCCTGTCAGTGGCCAGTCTTCAAAAGCAATAACGAATAGGAAACCAAGTTCACTTAACTGAGTGCCTATTACAAGCTGCTACTACTGGGCATATGATGAAGAAAACTCATATGGTTTCTGCCACCTGAAGAATTTATAAAACGGTGTTCTGAAGAAAATGGAAGGGAGGGACTCTAATTGCTAAGCTCCTTCTAGGGCTAAGTACTTTAAAAATAGTACCTTATTAAATGTAGTTCTATAAACAACTCTGTAAGAAAGGTATTATTATACTCTGAAGCATGTTAAGTAAGTTTCTCCACAAAAATTTGGGCTATATCAAAGCCTACAACCTTTTCACTAGTCCACTCCTTCTGGACAATTCTGAGTATGCTCAGCCTATTGAAAATAGTAGCTTCTCCAGGGCTGAATATATATAACATGATCTTTTCTAACAATGCTGACAATGAAGATGCCTCATTTCTAGGAAAGAAAATTATTCTAATACCTTTAGCATAAAATACTTCAGGAATTACAGATGAATTGGAAAGATAAAGTAACATGAAATACTAGTGGTGGCAATGAATATGGTTTACAAAATTAATTACTGCTACAATCCCAGAAACTTGGGGGGAGAGGAAGGGAGTGAAAAGACACTGCAAACAACTAAAGCAATATATATAGCAATAAAAAATAAAAATTAAACCCAGATATAAGACCCTTGTTTACATATGGAGTGAATACTTTAAGATCTTTTTTTTTTTTTTGCGACGAAGTCTCGCTCTTGTCCCCCAGGCTGGAGTGCAATGGCACAATCTTGGCTCACCACGACCTCCACCTCCCAGGTTCAAGTGATTCTCCTGCCTCAGCCTCCCGAGTAGCTGGGATTACAGGCACCTGCCACCACGCCTGGCTAATTTTTGTATTTTTAGTAGAGACGGGTTTCATCCTGTCGTCCAGGCTGGTCTCAAACTCCTGACCTCAAGTGATCCGCCCGCCTCAGCCTCCCAAAGTGCTTGGATTACAGGCGTAAGCCACCATGCTCGGCCTACTTTAAGATCTTTGAGATATCTATCAATCAGCTTAGAGCCAGGCTCAGTGGCTCACGCCTGTAATCCCAGCACTTTGGGAGGCTAAGGCGGGTGGATCATCTGAGGTCAGCAGTTCAAGACCAGCCTGATCAATATAGTGAAACCCTGTCTCTACTAAAAATACAAAATTAGCCAGGCATGGTGGCGCATGCCTGTAATCCCAGCTACTCGGGAGGCTGAGCAGGAGAATCGCTTGAACCCGGGAGGCGGAGGTTGCAGTGAGCTGAGATTGTGCCATTGTATTCCAGCCTGGTCAACAAGACTGAAACTCAGTCTCAAAAAAAAAAAAAAAAAAAAAAAAAAAAAAAAAAAAAAAAAAAAATCAGCTTAGGAGGAAATTATGTATTCAGACACAGTCACTTTAATACCACAGGGGTATATTCATGAGAGGACCTGATGCTTCCGGTTAGCTATAAATGGAGACTAGAAACCTGAGACACTGATGTGGCTCTGATCAAAAGGAACTTATTTGAGATACACTAGGGAGATTTATATCATTTTAAATGCTGCATGTGCCCTCAAAGTTTAAGGGTTTCCAGTGACTGACCCGATAGTACTGCTGTATGAATGGTATGTTTATTTACATCTTCCATAGTGAGTTCTAGTAATTCCCATTACTATCTCATCTTTCTTGCATTATTAACAATTAAAGTGATAAAACTGTAGTTTCATTCTGGAAAAGGGCATATGGAAGGATTAAAATATACTTTCATTTGAAAATGAACACCATTTGCTTCCTAAAAGTAAAATTAAAAAGCAGCAGCTTATTATTAAATCTGACTGCCCCATCCCCTCACCTCCCAACAAGTTCATTACCAGGCTATTACTTTAGTCAGTCTTCCTACGTTTGAGGACTCAGCTTTGGAAGGAATCCCAAAAGGCAGAGTAAAAGGTAAGAAATATTCAATTAATGCTTGGTATGGAAATACAAATAGTTTTAAAAATCCATATATTGCTCAATGAAAAATGAAGGATAGAAATACAACACCAAGGAAGGAAGCTTAAGAGAAAGATTTCACAGACTTGAAATCAAGTCAAGCTGTATCTTCGAATAAGTGGAGGAAACATGCTAGCAGTTACACCTAGAAAACAAGTAAAAGTGATCATGAAGACTAGGTTTTCTGCCTCTCTATTCCTTTCTTCTCAAACATCAAAGTTTCTAAAAAGAATTTTCTTAGAGTCTGTTAACAGAAAGAGATCTTTAGGCTGGGCATGGTGGCTCATGCCTGTAATCCCAGCACTTTGGGAAGTCTAGATGGGAGGATCACTTGAAGCCAGGAGTTTGAGATCAGTCTCTACAAATTTTTTTTTAAAAGTTAGCTGGGTATGGTGTCACACACCTATAGTCCCAGCTACTCAGGAAGCCATGGTGGGAAGACTGCTTGAGCCCAGGAGTTCAAGGCTGCAGTGAGCTATGATGGCAACACTGTACTCCAGCTTGGGTGACAGAGTGAGATTCTGTCTCTAAAATAAATAAATAAATAAACAAACAGACAAAAAGTTTTAAGAAGAGATCTAGAGTTGGAATTAGCAAAAATAAAATGGACTTCATTTAATACATGTCTAATGAATACCTGTAACTTGCCTATACTGTTCTAGGCTCTTATTATACAACGTGAACAAGAGACAGAAAAAACTGCCACCCTCACAAAGCTTTCACAGAATTGGTAGAAAATGTACCTACTTAACCTTTCTGAATCTTCATTTCATCTGTAAAGGTAGGGATCCAAACTATGTGTTTTTCAAACTGTGCTTAAAAACAACTGAACTTCTACTTCTATTTTAACCGCAACCACTTTGCTTTTTTCTGATTTCTCTATCAGGGATCTATATACAATATCCTTTGGAAAAACAAATCTTAAAAAACGTTTGTGGGCCAGGCACGGTGGCTCACGTCTGTAATCCGAGCACTCTGGGAGGCCGAGGCAGGTGGATCACAAGGTCAGGAGATGGAGACCATCCTGGCCAACATGGTGAAACTCCATCTCTACTAAAAATACAAAAATTACCCAGGAGTGGTGGTGTGCGCCTGTAGGCCCAGCTACTCAGCAGGCTGAGGCAGGAGAATCGCTTGAACCCAGGAGGTGGAGGTTGCAGTGAGCTGAGATCGTGCCACTGCACTCCAGCCTGGGCGACACAGCGAGACTCCGTCTCAAACAAACAAAAAAAGTTTGCCATTTGCTAACCACTTGTAAAAGAAAAAACAGGGCCCAGCCCAGTGGCTCACACCTATAATCGCAAGACTTTGGTAGGTCTAGCCAGGACGATCACTTGAGGCCAGGAGTTAGAGAACAGCCTGGGCAACATGGTGAGACTCAGTCTCTACAAAAATAAAAATAAAAATAATTAGCCAGGAGTGGTAGTGCATGCCTATAGTCCTAGCTACTTGGGAAGCTGAGGCAGGAGGATCACTTGAGCCCAGGAGGTTGAGGCTGCAGTTAGCTATGATGGAGTCACTGACTCCAGCCTGGGTGGCAGAGTGACACCCTGTCTCTAAAACAAACAATAAAAAACAAAAAACTTCTTTCACTCTACTCTCATTCTGCACAGACCACTTCTGTGACCAGATGTGTGAATTTTTGTTTTTATTTTTCCCCAACAGACACCAACTGGGGGTCCTCCAACTCAATTCAATTCTGACACTACCTACCTGAAGTTAGACTCGGATCCCACAGATTAAGGGTTCAGTCCCACAAGATGGCTCCCCACTTCAGATGCCTATCATAAGTATCACAAGTAGCAGGTTGCCATCTGTACTTCTGAGGAACCAGTTACAAACTGGAGTTTCTACTACCCCCTCCTTAGGTTCAATTACTTTGGTAGAAGGGCTTGTGGAAGTCAGGAAAACATTTAAATTTATTGTTTATTATAAAGGATATTACAAAGGATACAGATGAACAGCCAAATGAAAGAGATGTACAGGGCAAAGGATGGGGGCAGGTGCCGCCACCCTCCCAGCATCTCCACATGTTCAGCAACCCAGAAGGTCACCAAATCTTACTGTTCCAGAGTTTTTATAAAGCTTCATCTCCAGCCTATCCACTCCCCTTCAAAGGGGATGATGGGTGGGGACTCAAAGTCCCAACTCTCTAATTACTTGGTCTTTCTGGTTACCAGCTCCAGCCTGAGGCTGTCTAGGAGACCCATCCTAAGTCATCTCATTAGCACAAACTCAAATGTGATCAAAAGACTCCTTATGAGTAGCAAGCGACACTCCTATCACTCAGGAAATTACAAGGGTTTTAGGAGCTGTTACAGGAACCCAGGACAAAGGCCAAACGTATTTCATATCACACCACAACACTGAAGTGAGTGATTTCTAGGTACCATTCCAGTTTTACAATTCTGTCTGTTTTATGCTCATATTTCTGACCTATTTCTTTTTCACCATGTCTGGAATTCCATAGAGATATATTAAAAGGCTAACTACTTTTGTAGGACTGAAAAATAAATGAGAAACCCAAATGACTGCTTACTACATGCTGATACCACGTAGCAAACTTTTTTTTTTTGAGATTAGCAAACAAAACAAAAAGAGATTTAATCTTGTTTCTCTACTTAAACTAATCCCTTCCACAAAAACAAAAATCCTTCTGGAGGATAAGGTGTGAGGATCACCTGAGCCCAGCAGACCAGCCTGGGCAACACAGGGAGACCTCGTACTCTACCTGACCCTAGTTCTTACACTTTACCATAACTTTCAAATTTCCTAGCATAACATTTAAGGCCTTTCTGCAACCTGACCCCTTTTAACCTGCTCCTTTCGGCTTCGATGCCTTGGCTTCCCATGCCACCCAGCACCCTCTGCACCTCTTGACTCCTTCCACTTTCCAAGCATGCCCTGCACTTTCATATTTCCAAACTTTAGTTCATGCTGTAACCTCTGCCTAGAGTCAACCTTTCCCTCCCACCCCAACCTGTCGAGTCCCTCAAGGCTAGCCAGAACCAATTCAAACATTACCAAATACAGGGCAAGTCAGGAGAGAGGCAGGGACTCTGTCTCATCTGCTACCCTAACCTTGAGTCCCCAACTGGTAAGCATGCAATAAATGTTGAAATGATTATTGCAACATTAAAGGAAAGTAGTGATTATAAACAAGAGAACTCAAGCATCATCTATATTTGGCATCAAAACATTGATTTGTTCTTACAGATTTTAACATCCTGATTACACTTGGCTGAGTACATATCCTGGCATTCTTGAGTGTTCACAAAATTTATAAGGCTGTAATAAACATTTGCCACTTTAAAAACTGTTCACTAAGATGATAATGCATATTCAGAAAATCAAGGAAAGACACAATCCTTGAATCACTGGTAAACATGAGTCTACAATGTTCTAAAAGACTTGGGCTCTTTTACTAAATTATCGTGTTCTAGTTCCTTCATAAAGCTATTTTAAAAACAAACAAAAACAAGAACTTATATTAAGGTTACAAGAACAAACACTGCTCACAAATAGTATTTTTACATTTGTTCAGAACAGGTTTATATCCAAAAGCGATTATAGTAAACAATGACTACTGAGAGTACAGCATGTAATACTGATAGGTAAGGCTGATCCAAAGAATATTAAGGCTAAAGTATCACTCAACTTCTGATCCTCAGGACAAACGATACACTTCATGTTTGAAAAGCATCAGTTGTAAAACTTAGATGTTGATTAAACTAATTCATAAAGTCCAGCAGATTTTCATTAGGAAATTAGATAAAACAGGTCAATCATCTGGAGAGTACTAATGCAGTTTGGTTCTCGTACCAACACAGGACAGAGGTATTTTTCTAAATTCAGTCAATTACTTTCCAAGGTTCTCATCTGACATACTAAGAAGTCTGTAAGGAGAATTCCTCCACCCTTGGCCCCTATCCGCGAACATTCCAAATCTCAGCATTAGGGAATGCATATCCATCATTTTGCAGCCTACTAAAAGCCCACGACCTTAATATGAAAGCGGCTTTCGTGCTGCATTTGGCTGCTGCCTGTATGAAGGCCCTGCCTCAAAGCAGGGCCAACTCTGGCACGTTTTTTCATCTCTGAAAGTGGAGCTAGGAAAAACACCCAGATCTAAAGATGTTCGTTTAAATCCGTTTACATCTGCTCCCTTTCAAACACTACAAGCAAACTCCAAAAGCTTGAGCAGCAGCCGCAGCGGCAATGACAGTTCTTGAGGCCGAACTGGGTCAGGGTTACAGTTACACTTATATAGCATATTTACACCCTTTTGTCTACAAACTTGAGTGCAAACTTAAGTTTCCTCAAGGCAGCGTGTTCGCTGGGCCTCGGGAACCGAAGCAATTTTCCTGAGACAGGAAGGGCACAATCCACCCTGCTGGGTGGCTGCACCAGCCTTCTCCGGACCACGCACTCAGCGGCCTCGGCTTCTGGCCAGCTCTCGCAGCCAAGGGGTCGCTCGGGGCAACTCGCCCGCGTCCAGGCTAGGTAACTGGGTTTTACTACGTGGGCTCCCAGCTTTTCAGTCGCCCCTACTCGCCCGAGGCCGTTTCGGGCCTGGGGTCGCATTACATAAACAGCCACGGCCCCAGCTTTCCCAGGCCGGCCCCCGCCCCCACGCCAGGGGCGTCCCACCCCCGCGCGCCCCGCGCCGTGCCTTCCCTGCCCCCTACCCGCACCCAACCCGGACCCCGCGGCCTCCGCACCGCGCCCGCTCCCGTCCCTCGGGCCGGGCCTGGCCCCGAACGCCCTTCCCGGCCCGGCCCGCCCCGCCCCGATGTGGCCGTGCAGGCCGCCCAGCCGGTGCTAGGCCCCGCGCTCCGCCCGGGCCGCCCGCCTCACCGTTCTGCTGGTGCGGCGCCGGGCCCGCACCCGGGCCCGCGGGCGCTGCGGCTCCTGAGACGGCCGCTCCGCCGAACTTGGGCGGGATCCGGGCGCTGGCGGCCGGGTGAGAGGACCCGGCGGGGGCCGACATGACGGCGCTGGTGGCGACGGCGGCTCCGCTTCAGGGAGGTGGGCGGAGGGAAGGGAAGGCGGGGCCGGAGAGGAGAGAGGAAGAGGAAGGAACGCGCCTGGCGTCACTGAGGGTGTCACCCGGGACCGCGGCTCAGGTACCCAAGCTTCTCCGCGAGTCCAGCGCTGCCACTCGGCGGCCGCCGCGGGCGCGGGGATCCTGGGTCGCTCCGCCTTGACCCACGCGCCCCACGCCCCGGGACTTACACCTGGGGTCGCTCCCCGCACGCGCGGGCCTCGCGCCGGTGCCGCCGCAGCGCCCCCTGCAGGCCGGAGCCGAGCTGGCCCAGGCCTGAGTCTGGCCCGGGGTTCCGTGGCCCCAGTGCCGGCCCCGCGGCTGCTGCTCCGGCCCGGCCAGGTGCCTTCGTGTTGAGGCGAAAGGACTGGGCCTCAGTGGGTGAAGGGACCGGGTGGCCCGCTTCCACCTAGGGCAGAGGCTGGATCGGCCGCGGCGAGGCTGGGCCCAGCATTACTGGGAGGGGAACTTGAGAGCCGCGGGTTGATGTTCGGAGCTCAGGCGACGACTGACCACCCACCCTTCCTCGAAGAGGAACAATGGCTTGGGTTTGGTTTTTAATTTTTGATTCCCCCACCTCCCCTTTCTTGATTCCAAAGGAAATATAGCATTCAAGCGCCATGTCTGTTGGGAATATATAATTCCTTGGCAAAGAAAGAGGAAACATTTCTCTGATAAACACAAGAATCTCAGTAAGAATTGCATTATTGAGAACTTTTCCCACTGATAAAGTAGGGAAGAGGAAGGGGAAAATAGGGTAAGGGAATGCTGGAAGACAAACTTTAAACTTTATCTCCTTTTTTTTTTTTTTTTTTGTCGATTGTTGGTGCATCCTGTTGGTGTTCCGAGAAGTTGTGGCTCAGCTTGCTTTGTCTACATTAGTGGAATCTTTAAGTCTTTCTGGTCTGTCTCAGCATACTCACTGGCAGGCCCTAGACTACATTACCCAAGTCATTTTGCCGTCTTGGAATCCTGAGTATGTCATCACTCTGTATTGGAGATGAGATTGCTCAGAAACACTGAATTCAGAATGGGATCTAGCAAGATGGTATTTCTGGAGCAATAAGTCATTTACTGAATGATTATGCAAAGCATAAATTGCATTGTAGTCCTAGAATAATACAAAGCTTCCCTTTAGTTGTTGCCGTAAATTAATAACTGGCATTTTAATGCACTAAATGAATTTTAGTAGTTAGATTTATATCTTTGACTTCTAGGAATTTCAACTACATTAGAGTTCATATACACAAAAGGGGCAAGCCCTTTTCCACAGCATTTCCAGCTTCTCCACAGAAACCTAGCCCCACATGAGCAAAAGATCACACTCTGTGCTTCATCAAAGAGATTACACAATTACAGATTCCAGCATCTCCCAGGAGTCCTTTGAATTTGGATTAAGGTCTATAATTACGTGGGTAAGGGAATAACTAGGTAATTGGCTTTCTGCACCTGGAATGTATTCTCCTGGGTATAAGAGGCTCCTTTTAATCAGAAGTATATGGGATGAAAGTGAACCCTGTCTCTTAAGGGGAGACTCCTTAAGAGGAGGATTGGGGCCCTGTGTTTTAATAGATCTTCTCCACAATCTTTAATACCTAAGCTCCTTCCCCTTGTCCACTAATTTGCTGTAGAATTTTTCTAGCATGTTTATGATGGTGTTCAGGGCACACTACCCCAAAATATAACACCTTGGCATATTGAATGTTTTAAGCTGATGGAATTTGAGAAATGGCAGGTGTGAGGACTCTGACCTTCCCATGAAGCAGGTCATAAGACCCTCATGTGAGAGATGCCCTCTCTATACCTGGAGAAAAGAAGCAGTCTTATTTGTGAAGACAGAGAGACGCCAAGAGGAATCTAAATGAATAGGCCTTGGTAGGTTTCCCCCAGTTTACTGCCCTTAGCCCATCTTTTTGTCTTATCACAGTTTTCCATAACAGTCTACTCTTCATCAAGCTTGGTATAAAACGCTCAGGTTTCTTCAGGTCTTCGTTTCCTTATGAAGGCTCTGGTGCCATGTAAAACTTACATTAAATATCATACATTCATATGCCTTTCTTTTGTTACAGGAACCCCAGACGCACGGGCCTTGTGCTGTCGCTGCCGTGGCACCCCTTCTAGAAGGTAGATATTTTTCCTCCTGACAAACACTACAACCTTTATGAAAATATTTCACTCTTTTGCTTTAATTTCCATTACTACTATAAGTGAAAAAAGGATGAAGAATTGAATGAATAGGATTGAACCATCTACTAGGCACTGTGCTTGTAAATCTAGATATGTATTTTTTTCTATTTAATCCTAACAATAACTCCATGGGATATTTTTCTTATCCCTATTTTATCTGTGAAGAAACTAATGTTTATAGAGCTGAAGTAATCTTAGTAAAAATCATGAACCTGGAATTAGCAGAACCAGCGGTCAAACCAAGGATTATTTAGCTCCAGACCATTGCTTTACTATAAACTATACTGGGTTAATTTACATTTTTCTTCATAAAGCTATGCTAGTTATGATTTACTGTCTTGCTGTCAAAAGATTTTCAGTTTTTCATATTTAGAATTTGTTCCAGTGTACTCTACAATGGTAGATCTCAGAGTTTTTGAAATGCAGATTTGTGGGCCCAAACCCTGGACCGTATACTGATTCAGAAGTGGTGGAGATAGGGCCCTACAGCAAGCTCTCCAGGCAATTCTGATGCATGGGGAAGTTTGAGGACCACTGCTTTTGAATAGCAGAGTTAAGCTGAATTGGTTCATTCTCTTACTTTGGAAGATGATGGTCCTTTCTTTCAGGACATCTCTTCAATCTTTTACAGACCAATAAAAGTGATATTTTGTAGATTTGTGATTACAGTGTCACAAATGCCAATTATGATGTTTCCTATGTCAACTCAGATTCTCTGAGGTATAGTGTTGATGCAGATGCTGAGGCCAAGTCTGTTCAGTGAGAAAGAGTGGGTAATTGAATTAATCTCTGCTGCATATATGGAAGTGAAATAATACGTGTGTTACTATTTGTCATCCCCAACTTAGGACTCTATTCTCTATAACAGAAGTGGGAGCCTTGGACAACTGAACGCCTATCTCTAGCTCAAGAAATGTCAGCTCTTTTTTTTTTTTTGAGACTGTCACCCAGTCGGGAGTACAGTGGCGCCATCTTGGCTCTCTGTAACCTCCACCTCCTGGGTTCAAGCGATTCTCCTGCCTCAGCCTCCTGAGTAGCTGGGGCTACAGGTATGCACCATCACTCCTGGCTAATTGTTGTATTTTTAGTAGATAATGGGGTTTCACCATGTTGGCCAGGGTGGTCTCAAACTCCTGACCTCAGGTGATCTGCCTGCCTCGGCCTCCCAAAGTGCTGGGATTACAGACGTGAGCCACCATGCCCAGCCAAGAAATGTCAATTCTTTATCGTAGCCTGGCTTTCCATATTTCTCACTAGGGTTTTTATTCTCTAGTTTGTAAATCACATTTGGCGTTTGTAGATCACTCCTTCCCTTTTAGTGGCATTCTCTATTAGGTGTCCATCTCCCAATATGAAGAAACAGTTTTCTGCTTTTTCCTCCTTTATCTGATCCATTTACAGATTTATTACATTTATAATAGGCTAGGTATTGGGGATACAAAAATGAATAAGATATGGTCTGTTTTCAAAGGTATGCAGAAACTTTTCTATATATTCCTACTGACTTGTATTTGTATTTCTTGAATTAAAAACAATCCTGGCTGTGTTTTTTTTTTTTTTTTTTTGCTCTTAGTGAATCTTTGTTTCTTCTTTTCATTATGGCATTCCAGTTGAGTTTCACCACGCATTATCATGAGAATAAATAATTTCACTGACTTTAATAATATTTGATCACTTATGTTGATGTCATTTAACTCTCATTTACATTTCAGTGGTCTAAAACACAACTAAGATACTAAAAGAAAAATAAAAGATGAGATTATTGGCAAATAATTACCACATAGTCAACTCATGAACAATAGTGCATGCACTTACAGGAAATTCTCTGATTGTCACATAAACTATTTGGCTGTTGTTTCAGACATGCTGTAATTTCTGTAGTTAGACACTTAACTAGTCCACAGCAGATTAGAAACTATGAATCACAAGGCAAGGGAAGGAAATGCTGTTAATATAGGTAGTTTGAGAGGAGCAATCTCTATTAGTTGGCAGAATAAGCACAGGAAAAACAAGACAATTAGAAAAATGAATTAAAAATGCACGGTATTCTGACACAATTAGTTACATTGAACAACCCTATGTATTCCACTGGAAATATGATAAACATAGTCCACAAGTCTCTGCCATCTGAGAAATTTATAACCTAGTATTCTGAAGGAAATAAAGTGAAGGGAACTGTCACATACCGAACACCTGCTTTATAACTTGAAAGCGCTTTATGACATCACCATATATCAGGACCAAAACAGATATTCATAGATTTGGTCCTCAATTGCAAAGAAAAATTAAATTATGTTCTGTACTCTGTTTCAGAAGACCAGAGGAATACAGAACCCATTTTGGAACTTTAGAAACTCTTACATATGAACAGGTTAGGTTCCAAAATTTCCATTGTTCGTAAGTCCCAATACTCACAAGTTCGGAGTAAGCCACATATGCATTTCCAGAAAACAGAAAAGTGAGGCAGTCCTTTGAAACTTTAGAACAAAGCTTACTCTTCTTTTTACTGATATAAGTTGTATAGTGGTGCAACCCAGACTAAGGCGCATATGAATCTCTTGATGATCACGTTAAAATGAAGATGCTTATTGGGTAGGGTTAGAATGACCTGAGAATCTGCATTTCTAGCAAGCTCCCAGGTGATGCTGATGCTGATGCTGCTGATCCATGGACCACACTTTGAGTAGCAAGGTTCCAAAGGGCATTTTTTGTTGGATTTACATTTGAAGTCCCTTAAGGAAGGAAATGCCCCTCCTTAATGAGCCTAAAGGAACTTCTTAGCAGCTGGCGTATATTCACACCTGCTACCACTCATGTTGATGTTGTACAGATTAAAATGTGCCTAGCGCTCTTGCTTTCCATAACTTTACTTTCTTAGGCCTTTAAGATACTTGAACCATCTCCTAATGGGTTAATGGGTGCCCAGAGTTGACACTGATCCTCTCATCACATGGTCAACAGTGTGTACATTTTGTCAATTACTTTTCTTCTTACTGATTATTGTTATATAAAAATGGTGAATTAGTCTGCTTTGGCCACCATAACAAAATACCTTAAACGAGGTGGCTTAAACAACAGAAATGTGTTTTCCCACAATTCTGGAAGCTGGAAGTCTGAGATGAGAGTGCCAGCATGATCAGGTTCTGGTAAAGGTTCTCCTCCTGGCTTGTAGATGGCCACCTTCTCACTGGTCCATACATGGCAGGCAGAGATGGGGAGAGAGAAAGTTGTCTGGTGTCTCGGTATAAGGGCACCAGTTCTATTGGACAAGGCTCTGCCTTTACGACTGCATTTAACCTTAATCACCTCCTTAAAGGCCCTCTCTTCAATATAGTTACATGTGGGGTTAGGGCTTCAACATATGGATTTTGGAGGTACAGAATTCAGTCCATAGCAAATGGCATTTTCATATGGCATGAGTCACTCTTTGCTTTTCAGAATTGTTCCCAATTTCAACTGGGTCATACCACTTTATTGTATATTTATTACTATGAATTTTCATTTTTCAATCTCTGCTTTTTTAATCTTCACATCACTCTTACTACCACCTTCAAAATTCTCACTGCTTTCTCACTGACATCAATGTTGGGATTAATATTTATAAAGCACATTTTAAAACATAAACTCATAATAGGCCCCAAATTAATAAAAAGATGACCTACATCAGGGCACCACTACACCAGGGCACACTGAATGAGTGCAATTCATTAAAAGATGTATTAAGATATTAATCCTCTTCAGACATTGGGACAACTAGGGGGTACTCAAGTGATCCTCAGGCTAGTCTCCTTTGGCTGCAAGCATCCTTGTCTTTTACCCAACAAAAATATCCTTATTTTCTAGCTATGTTATAACATGAAGAGGCTGGGAAGCACTGCCCTAGACTAAAATTACTAAATTACTGTGCACAATCTTCAGTGCCATCTGCTGGAAGGAGACAAAGTTACTATACTATGGTTCTAGAAGGTAGATTTATGTATTCGTTCATTCATTTGAGACAGGGTCTCACTCTGTTGCCCAGGCTAGAATGCAGTGGTGCAATTACAGCTCACTGCAGCCTTGACCTCCTAGGCTCAAGTGACCCTCCTGCATTAGCCTCCCAAGCAGCTGGGATTACAGGAGTGCACCACCACACCGGGCTAATTTTTTAAAATTTTTAGTAGAGGTGAAGTCTTGCTGTGTTGCCCAGGTTGGTCTCTCAAGTAATCCTCCAGCCTTGGCCTCCCAAAGTGCTGGGATTACAGGTGTGAGCCACCATGCCCAGCCTAGATTTATTTTTATGTATAAAACTAAGTTAAAAGATCATACGAAGGGGTATTTCTGTGTTACAAAGGATTGGTTTTAAAACTTTTTTTACTAGTTGAAAGGATAAACTTCAATTACCTGAAAAATGTAAAACACAACTGTTTCTTTAAAAGAGAAAAAGCTAGACAAAAAATGTTGTTGGGGCAGACACAGTGGCTCACACCTGTAATCCCAACAGTTTTGGAGGCCAAGGTGGGAGGATCACTTAAGCCCAGGAATTTGAGACCAACCTGGGCAACAGAGTGAGACCTTGTCTGTACAAAAAGTTAAAAAATTAGCCAGGTGTGGTGGCGTGTGCCTGTGGTCCTAGCTACTCAGGAGGCTGAGGCAGGAGGACCACTTGGGCCTAGGAGGTCAAGCCTGCAGTGAGCCATAATTGTGCCACTTACACACTCCAGCCTGGGCAGCAGAGTGAGACTCTGTCTCAAAAATAAATAAATAAATAAATAAAATTGTTGAACATACTAATTCAGTTAGAAAGGACACACTTTTAAAAAAGAATATTGATAAGTCAGAGCACCACTATGATGGCAGGGTGTTTACAAAGCTTGTGGTACACCATATACAAAAATCAACTCAAAATGGACTAAAGACTTAAAAACCTGAAACTATAAAACTAATAGGAGAAAACATAGGGAGAGATCGTGCCACTGCACTCTAGCACAGCGACAGAGTGAGAGTCTGTCTCAAAAAAATGAAAAAATTAAAAGATTTTTCCGTATAACAACTTTCTTCTTCACTAACGAAAAGTAGAAATCTAGTATAGTCCTGTAGACAGTTTCTATGTAATAGATTAAAACAAGTTAAAACAGGAATTTCTCCCATAAGATTCTCTCCTTCTAAATACAACAGAGTAGAAGGGGCAGGTGTGGTGGCTCATGCCTATAATCCCAGGACTTTGGGAGGCCAAAGCAGGAGGATCGTTTGAGACGGGAGTTTGAGATCAGCCTGGGTGCATAGAGATACCCTATCTCTACAAAATAATTAGAAATTAGCCCGGCATGGTGACACAGCCTTGTAGTCCTAGCTGCTCAGGAAGCTGAGGTGGGAGGATTGCTTGAGCCCAGGTGGTTGAGGCTGCAATGAGTCAGATATATATATCTGGCTTTATATATACACCTTTGTTTTATATGTATATTATATACTTTATTATATATACATAAAACAAAGTAGAGAATGTTAGTCCCCGGAATTTCTCTGTAAGAAAATGTCTCATGCAAAAATCATTCAGGAGGAGAAAAATATACTTTGTAGGGGATGCTACATGCTTCTTGCCAAGAAGAGAGAGAGAAATGGGAGGCCATTAGCTGTCTTCTATGTATGGTTGGTGGGCAGGGGTACAAGAGAAGCTTCTCACTTTTACACCATGTGGGAAGAAGGTAGTGAACAGGGTAGAAAGAAAACTGTGAGATAACAACATGGAAGGATTGGGAGATTGAAAGAGGAGGAGAATTTTAGCAGCCGTCATAAGTAGGGAACTTTGGAGGGAGGAGAGATATAGAGAAGTATTGTTGGAAGCTTTACTTTCTATTTTTCTGGGAGAGACCCCTGTGTTACACCTTTACGGAAACTCATAATAAAAATCTCGATCGTTTATCAACATTAGTCTCATTATTTTTGAACGAGAATCCCCACAGAAATGATATCACATGACACTTGAGTTGTAAATTGTACAAACTGCATTCAGAAGCCATCACCAAGGCCTAGCTGTTCTTTTTCCTGAATCTAGACCATTTATGTCATATGAGTATCTACTTTCCAAAACTGAAAGCTCCTCACTTGGTCTTCCACAGAACTCCAGTGGAGCTCTAAATTGTATAGCTGAAAATGGGGCATATAATTCATACACTTTCACCATAATTCAGGGCAGGGAGGGAATGTCACTGGTTATGGTATCTGTTAGTTTTCCCTGTTAACTGACATTTGGAAAATATGTGCTCTGAGACACTCACACTTTGGGTTTAGATAACGTTTCTTCTCTCGGTGTCTGTGTTTCATGTTGTTGTTGTAATTGGCCAATAGCGCTGTAGTTGCTGCCAATATATAAGTTTGTTGCAGATACAAAATATGGACATTTTGATAGTTAATGTGCACACACACATAATACACAATAGGCATAGTCATAATTTTGTTACATGATCATTTGGCACAAATGATGAAACTGTGCACAAGTTACTATAATTAATGCCCTATACTTTCTTTTTCTTTCTTCTTTTTTTTTTTTTGAAACAGAGCTTTGCTTTTGTAGCCCAGGCTGGAGTGCAATGGCTCAATCTCAGCTCACTGCAACCTCCGTCTCCTAGGTTCAAGTGATTCTCCTGCCTCAGCCTCCGAAGTAGCTGGGATTACAAGCATGCACCATGCCCCGCTAATTTTGTATTTTTAGTAGTGTAGGGTCCAGCCCTACAGGGCCTGTGGGTTTTTCCTTAGTGTGCAGAGATGAGAGATTGTAGAAAAATAGACATGAGACAAAGAAATAGAAGGAAACACAGCTGGGCCCAGGGGACCACTACCACCAATGCGCGAAGCCTGGTAGTGACCCTGAATGCCTGGACACACTGCTATTTATTGTATGCAAGGCAAGGGGGCAGGGTAAGGAGTTTGAGTCATCTCAAATGATTAATAAGGTCAAGCAAGTCACGTGTCCACGTGACGGGGGGCCTTTCCCTTTGTGATAGCTGAAGCAGAGAGGGAGGACAGTATATGTCAGCATTTCTTCTGTGCACTTATCAGGAAGATCAAAGACTTTAGTACTTTCACTAATTTTGTTACTGCTATCTTTTAAGAACTTAAAAGGAGGTGCCAGGTGTACAGGCAGAACATGAAAGTGGACAAGGAGCATGACCACTGAAGCACAGCACCACAGATGTTTAAGCCTCCAGATGACTGCGGGCAGGCCTGGCTAATGTCAGGACTCCCACAAGAGTTGGTGGAGCAGTGTTCTCTAACTCCCCCCGGGGAAAGGGAGACTCGCTTTCCCGGTCTGCTAAGTAACGGGTGCCTTCCCAGGCACTGGCGCTACCGCTAGACCAAGGTCTGCCGAGTAACGGGTGCCTTCCCAGGCACTGGCCCTACCGCTAGACCAAGGTCTGCCAAGTAATGGGTGCTTTCCCAGGCACTGACCTTACCGCTAGACCAAGGAACCCTCAAGCGGCCCTTATCCGGGCGTGACAGAGGGCTCACACTCTTGTCCTTTGGTTACTTCTCACCATGTCCCTTCAGCTCCTGACTCTGTATGGCCTGGTGTTTTCTAGGTTATGATTATAAAACAGAGATTATTATAATACTAAAAGAGCAACACTACCAACTAAAGATTGATAATATTCATATATAATCATGTCTATATCTTATTTTTAGTATAACTTTTTGTATTCTAATTATTTTCTTTTATTATACTGGAACAGCTTGTGCCTTCAGTCTCTTGCCTCAGCACCTGGGTGGCTTTCCGCCCACAAGTAGAGATGGGGTTTCTGCATGTTGGTCAGGCTGGTCTCGAACTCCCGACCTCAGGTGATCCACCTGCCTCGGCCTCCCAAAGTGCTGAGATTATAGGCATGAGCCACCGTGCCCAGCCTGCTTACTTTCAAAATAAGGTAAAAGTCTGAGGAAAAAATAATAGTTCCCATTTCTGGAGCATTTAGGCTGTGCCAGGCATTGTTCTATGTATGTTCATGTATTATTTCCTCAAAAAAGTACACACTTTAATTCTGCAGATGAGAAATCTGAAACTCAAAGAGATTGAGAATCTTCTCCACACACATGATTATCCCAATAATCTGGTGAGTTGAATGAGAAATAGAAGTCAAAGAGGAAGAAGGCAGGGTTGCCTGAAAGATTCCAGAATCTGGATATAAAGGTGCATTCTCCAGCAGCTGCTGATGGCCACTAACAGGATTTTCTCTTATATATCTTAGTTGGGCATGAAGGGTATGAGAGATTTCAAGCATACTGAGGAATGACACTTTCAATTGCTTCCCCAGCCAAGTAGCTTCAATGGACAGATTACCCAGAATTTAAAACAAGAAAAAATATAATCTAATTAGATCACTTATATTACTTTGTCATTGCCATATCTTTCTAACAATTTAAAAAAAAATGGACTTTTAAAAAAAGCCCCGTATCTGAGGCTCTAAAATCCAACAGTCCTCTTCGTTTTAATGCTTAATTTTGTTTTTGTTTTTGTTTTGAGATGGAGTCTCGCTCTGTCACCAGGCTGGAGTGCAATGGCGCAATCTCAGCTCACTGCAACCTCCGCCTCCCCGGTTCAAGCAATTCTCCTGCCTCAGCCTCCCGAAATGATTAGTTTTACAAACAGACCAGAAGCGGGGCGCAGTGGCTCACGCCTGTAATCCCAGCACTTTAGGAGGCCGAGGTGGGCGGATCACAAGGTCAGGAGTCTGAGACCAACCTGGCCAATATGATGAAACCCCGTCTCTACTAAAAATACAAAAATTAGCCCGTAGTGGTGGCCTGCGCCTGTAGTCCCAGGGCTTGGGAGGCTGAGGCAGGAGAATCGCTTGAACCCGGGAAGCGGAAGTTGCAGTGAGCCAGGATCGCGCTGCTGCACTCCAGCCTGGGCGACAGAGCGAAACTCCGTCTTAAACAAACGAACAAACAAAAAACAAAAACAAACAAACAAAAACCCAAAACAAAAAAACCAGACCAGAAAGCCCCAACCCGCTTTTCCATCTGGACGCTCTTCCTACGTAGTCTACAATGTCGGTGGGCTTCCACCGCCATCTGGTGGACGATGTGTAGATGTGCTCTGACTTGAGGAGACTTCGCTGGCGTGGAGAGGAATGTGATTAATGAGAAGAGTTTTCCATTCATGCAATTGATTTGAAAGCAATGCATAGGAATCTAAAAACTGAATAGATAAAAGTGCTTACTTCTAGGCAATCAAAAAGGGGAACAATTTGTATGTGTTGACTTATTGACTAGGATGAGATGGAACCAAATAAATTAACATTTTCTTTAATGCTGCTAGAATCCTTCAACTTCGCACTACATAGCATGCAACACTTTTTGAACAGTCCCAGCACCATGAATCTGCTTAAGTAAAGCTGTTTATGCAGTCGTCTCATCTGAGAGTACAGGAAACTCTGTATCTACATCCATTTCTGTTTATCTTTATAGTCCCCTTGTCCCACACCTAAAATTTCAACATTAAGAATCTACTTTCTCACTGGGGCCTGTCAGGGGGAGTGGGGGAAGGGAGAGCACCAGGAAAAATAGTTAATGCATGCTGGACTTAGTACCTAGATGATGGGTTGATAGATGCAGCAAACCACCATGGCACATGTTTACCTATGTAAAAAACCTGCACATCCCATACATGTACCCTGGAACTTAAAATCATAAAATAAAATAAAAAGAATCTACTTTCTGAGCTGGGCGCGGTGGCTCACATCTGTAATCCCACCACTTTAGGAGGCTAAGCTGGGAGGATCACTTGATCTTAGTTGTCCAAGACCAGCCTGGGCAACAGAATAAGATCCTGTCTTTATTACAAAAAGAATCTACTCTGTTCTGATAACACTGTACTATTTCTTTTTATTTTAAAATTCAGGTAAAGTTTTGTCTGCATTTTAACCTTAAAGTGTTAGGGTGGGGACGTGGTGGGGGAAAGTGTGTGGCAGAGAATAAGCATTGGTACTGCGGCTACCATATTGTTCTAGCATTTCACCATTGGCACATGACTGCCTTGCACATGGTGATTAGATTGGACCATGGGACCAGTTCTGGTCAGTGAGTTATGCTTTAATATTTTAAAAATCCATAGATTCTAGGCAAATAGTTATCATATGACAATAAGGCAGAGTAGATCTCATAATATTCAGTGATTTGGGGGGTTAATTTCCTTTGTCACTTCTTAGTTTGTAAAACAAATGAGACATTAAGTATATACCATGCTTAATGTCATCTTCTCCTATCATAAATATAGGACAAATGGTATGAATTGTGATACAATATAATGAAATTAATTTTTTTCATACTTCTCAGCACATAGCCACATAAATAAATGCTGCCTTTCAAAGCAATCAGCTTGGGTAATGATACGTTTATTTTAGCAATGTGCATGATATGGTTTGGCTCAATGGTTTGGCTCAATGTTCCCACGCAAATCTCATTTGAATTGTAATCCCCAGTGTTGGGGAGGGACCTGGTGGGAGGTGGTTGGATCATGGGGGCACATTTCTACCTTGCTGTTCTCATAATAGTGAGTGAGTTCTCATGAGATCTGGTTGTTTGAAAATGTGTAGCACTTCCCCCTTCACTCTCTGTCTCTCCTGCTCTGCCATGTGAAGATGTGCCTCCTTCCCCTTCACCTTGCATCATAATTGTAAGTTTCCTGAGTCCACCTCAGAAGCAGACACCAGTACAGCCCACAGAACCATGAGCCAATTAAACTTCTTTTCTTTATAAATACCGAGTCTCAGGTTAGTCTTTATAGCAGTGTGAGAATGGACTAGTACAGTGCTAGTACTCGAAATAAACTGAAAATCGTAAGCTTCAATATTTTCTTAGTTCTGCTGCTCATGCCTGTAATCCCAGCACTTTGAGAAACCAAGGCTGATGGATCACCTGAGGTCAGGAGTTCGAAACCAGTCTGGCCAACATGGCAAAACCCGGTCGCTACTCAAAATAACAAAAATTAGCTGGGTGTGGTGGTGGACACCTGTAATCCCAGCTACGCGAGAGGCTGAGGCAGGGAGAACTGCTTGAACCCAGGAGGCAGAGGTTGCAGTGAGCCAAGATTGCACCACTGCACTCCAGCCTGGGCAACAGACTGACACTCCATCTCAAAAAAAAAAAAAATTGTTTTTTTCTTAGTCTCAGTACCTTTAAATTTGGCTGGGCTCAACCAATAGATAAGCTACTACTAAGCAAGCTATATAAGGAGCCTCAGCCCCATCAGTTGTTGTATCTAATATGTAAACGAATGAGACCTAAGCCCTTCGTGTCGGCCAAAACACATCAAACCTGACCCTGCTCTACCTACATTGGATTGCTTACTAACAAATTTAGGGTCAGCCCTATAGTTGTATAGGTTTACTGGAAGACTTAGTTTCTTCCTTTTAATCTCGACCCAGGTGGCTTGGTGTAGAGAATAACTTATTAGGATACTGTAACCAGACACAGATTTGGCTGCTCATAGCTGAAAAGCCAGACATGAGAGGCGAGGGTTGGTGGAAGGAAAAGCAGGTTTAACTGGAGAGCCAGCAAACCTGGAAGATAGTGAACTAGCTGTCTCAAGTGCCATCTTAAATTTTAAAATTTATCATAGAGTTTTTAAAGGGAAATTTGGTATAGGAGACATGGGGGAGTGGTGCAGGATGTGGGGTCTGTGTGTCTTTGTTCAGATGGCTAGCTTGCGTAATTCTCTCTGGAGGTCTGCTTGGTGTCATCTTTACTGCAGCCCAGTGGTGGTGGACTAACTGTGACCCCTGCTGAGTGGGAGGATGCTGCAGCTGGGACTCCGCACCTGGTTTGTTTCAAGATTAGCCTCTGGAATTTCTTAAGTAGGAACATAATTAGATAAGCTTGCATTGCTGGAGGGGAGTGTCTAGAGAGGGAAGGAATGAAGGGGTAAGAGAGGAGGGAAGGGAGAAAAAGAGAATGGGTGATTAAAAAATATGTTTAAAACTGAGATCCTGGGTTACAATGCTTCTGTCTAGTTCCATTGAGTTTTCCTTCCTCCCTACCCCCATCTACTCCCTGGTTCTCATAGTTACAGCCATTCTTTCACTACATGACCCTGCTTGGACACTTGTTGCTTGGACTAGGAGTAGGCACTTGACAAAAACAAAATTTTGATTTTTGAAAAGGTAAATAAAAGTTCCTTCACTCTCAATTTGAGAGTGAAATAAAATAATCCAGTCTCAGTTTGCAATCTCTCTTAAATGGAGGAGATGTAAATTCTTGAGCTGCAGGGGTCCATCTTCAACCAGACAGAATGCTTACCAACAGCATTTCCCTCCTCTACCTTGTAATCCCATTCATTGATATCAGTGAAGAAAAGGAGGAAAAGGATGAAAGACTGAATGAAGTATCACTGCGAGTGGAGGACTTGCAGAAAGGAGTGACAAAGAGTACTGCTGCCAGTGATGAAGGGCCTGATTCCAGCCCATTCCAGAGTCTCGGCTGTACTCCTACTCCTTATAGTAAGAAATGCTCCCTCCTTTCTATTGAAACTGCATGTTGAGTATCCCCAGTATAAAAGTTTGAAATCCAAAATGCTACGCTGAGCATTTCCTTAGAGTGTCATGTTGGTGCTCAAAAAATTTTGGATTTTGGAGGATTTGGGATTTTCAAATTATGAATACTCAATCTGTAACTTGATAGAGTTTCTGTTTCCCGCAGCCAAATGAGTATAAACCAATACTCCAAGATTCTTGCATGCCTTCTGATAAAATTATTTTAAAAATATCTTCAGAGCCAGTTTATAGGCCAACCACAAAATCAGTTTTACAACATTATAATTACCTTTTATGAGTTTGGTGACATTTAATACAGCATATAATCAGTAAATACTTACTTTGTGCAATGCACAATGCTTGTCAATCAAAGGAATCCAAAGATTAGTAGAAGCTAACAGTTTTTGTGGGAGAGAAAACAATTTACAAAAGTAGTGATAGCTAATAAGTTCCATGACAAAAGTACAAGTAAAAAGAGTAGAGGACAGAGAAAAGAGTGATTTATTCAGATTTTTAAAAATTATCAAATGTTGAAATACTAACAACATGCTGAGGAGTATATTGTGATCCAGTGATAGAATGCAGAATGGAACATAATCTCTTACTTCAAGGAGCTTAAATTTTATCACAAGGGTAAACACAAGGGTGTTTGGCAGCCAAAGGAGCACTAACCATGTGTTGGGGCTGGGGGCAGGTTTGAGAAGGCATCCAGAAGAGACAATATCTAGGCAGATATGGAAAGATAAAAGGTTAAATAGAATTAAATGAAGGTGGGCTAGAAGAAAGAAATATCAAATACAAAAGACTCTTGGGAGGCTGAGGCAGGAGAATGGCGTGAACCCGGGAGGCGGAGCTTGCAGTGAGCCGAGATCCCGCCACTGCACTCCAGCCTGGGCGACAGAGCGAGACTCCGTCACAAAAAAAAAAAAAAAAAAAAAAAAAAAGACTGATGAATTCTTTTTTCTGAGACTGAATCTCGCTCTGTTGCCCAGGCTGGAGTGCAGTGGAACGATCTTGGCTCACTGCAACCTCTGCTTCCTGGGTTCAAGCAATTCCTCTGCCTCAGCCTCCCCGCTAGCTGGGACTACAGGCGCCCACCACCACACCTGGCTAATTTTTGTATTTTTAGTAGAGACGGGGTTTCACCATATTGGCCAGGCTGGTCTCAAACTCCTGACCTTGTGATCTGCCCACCTTGGCCTCCCAAAGTGCTGGGATTACAGGTGTGAGCCACCGCGCCTGGCCAAGAATTCTTTTAGCAGCATTAAATGCCCAACTCTCAGATTCCATTACTCCCCACTTTCCTGTTTTTGCTCTTATCTGTTGGGCTCCTTTTTAGTCTTCTTTGTCCTGGGTTCCCTCCTCTTTCCCCTCCCCTCTCCTCTCCTGCTTGGAGTGTTTTTAACTAAGCAGTACAAATCTTGAGACCAGAGCTGTGGTCAGTGAGTCCTGTTAACCTTCTGAGATCTGTGCCCTATGGGTAGGCTGCTGGGATCCCATCCTCCAGAAATTTCCATGTCACCAGCAGGCTGAATGTTTTTGTGGCAGTCATACCTCTCCTGAGAGGCCTGACTCTCAGCCTTAGTGGGGAAATGCCCCTTCTAAATTTTTTATTTTTTATTTACTTATTTTTTTAACTTATTTTTTGAGACAGGGTCTCGCTCTGTTACCCAGTCTGGAGTGCAGTGGCACGATCATGGCTCACTGCAGCCTCGACCTCCTGGGTTCAAGCAGTCTTCCCATCTGGCCTCCCAAAGTGCTGAGAATACAAGAGTGAGCCACTGTGCCTGGACTGCCCCCTCTAAATTTTAACATTTTCTTCTTCGTGCACTCTGCATTGGCTTTAGAGGTAGTGGCCACCATCTGCAGTTGCTATTTCTATACCCCTTAGAGTCCTCTTTTATCTCTTTTAGTAGTACACCATATTTACTACTTAATAATTATTTATATTAAACTTTTCTGTTGATATAACCGGCATGTTTTTAGTCTCCTTATTCATCCCTGGTTGATATAATGAGGCAGAGAGGTGACTTGGGAATGACTCCACAAAAAAGCACAAACCAGCTGGGTGTGGTGGCTCATGCCTATAATCCCAGCCCTTTGGAGGCTGAGGTGGGAGGATCACTTCAGATCAGGAGTTCAAGACAAGCCTGGGACCTTGTCTCTGCCAAAAATAAAAAACAAAAATAGCCAGGTGTGGTGGTGCACACCTGTGGTCCTAGCTACTCAGGAGGCTGAGGTGGGAGGATCTCTTGGGCCCAGGAATTTGAGGCTGCAGTGAACTGTGATCGTCCCACTGCACTCTAGCCTGGGTGACAGAGTGAGACCCTGTCTTAAAAAAGAAAAGCACAAACCATAATATAAAAGAACTGAATAATTTGACTTTATGAAAATTAAAGACTTCTGTTCTTTAAGTGATACTTTTCAGAAAATGATAAGGCAAGTCAGTCCAGTAGAAAATATTTGCAATACATATATCTGACAAAGGCTTGTGTACAGAATACACAAAGTATCTCAAAAATAAGAAGACTGTTAATTTGCTAGGGCTGTCATAACAAAATACCACAGACTGGGTGGCTTCAATAACCCAGATTTATTTTCTTATAGTTCTGGAGGTTAGAAGTTCCAGATCAAGGTATCGGCAGATTTGGTTTCTTCTGAGGCCTCTCTCCTTGGCTTGCAGATAGACTTCTATCGGCTAGAAGACTTGTCTTCTCACGGTGGTGTCCTCACATGGTCTTTCCTCTGTGCATGCACATGTCTGTGTGCTAATCTCCTTATAAAGACCAATGAGAAACTTGCAGTTTGCATGGTCCGAGTGTTCTCCCTATTGCCATAGTCCCTCTCCTCCTATTGTAATAATCATTTTGAATCAAGTCTCTCCTTACCCAAATCCACATTTGTTTTTATTTGCCATTTCCGTCCTGCTTACCATGTGTTTAGCTGTGGCAGCCTAGTGGGAATTGAGCAAATACATAGCCAACTACAACCTAGGAAGGTATGTATTGTGCAGGGCCTGTTACATCATTTTCATGTAAGATGAAAATGCTGAATGCCTTATTCAAAAGACAAAGGCAAAAGTGCCCCTGAAGTACTAAAATATGTTTTTGCTTTTCTTCTATAGTCTCTCTCAACTTGTTACGGTGTCTCTTTTAATTTAGTGTAATTGTAAATAAATAAAAATTAAATTTTTTATTAGCATGAATTTACTATTCATCATTATATTGTGCAATGTCAGTTAAATATATGTATGGCCAAGTGTGGTGGCTCATGCCTGTAATCTGTGCACTTTGGGAGGCTGAAGTGGGAGGATTGCTTGAGCCCGGGAGTTCAAGACCAGCGGGGGCAACAGAATGAGAGCCCCCTCTCTACAAAAAAAAAAAAAAAAAAAAAAAAAAAGCTAGCTGGGTCTCTACAAAAACAAAACAAAACAAAACAAAACAAAGCTAGCATGTGGCACATGCCTGTGGTTCCAGCTACTTGGGAGGCTGAGGTGGGAAGACCCTTTGAGCACAGGTAGTTGAAGCTATAGTGAGCCATGATCACATCACTGCACTCCAGCATGGGCAGCAGAGCAAGACCCTGTCTCTAAAAATTAAATAAATAAATAAACAAACAAATAAATGCAAATATAAGAGCACTTAACTCATATGTGGAATTACCAAAATTACACAATTCATACCTCGTTCATACATGCATATGCATTTTGTTCCCAAAAGAAGAGAGGAAATGCTGCACAAAATTAACTCTTTTTTTCACTTCTTGATAGGTGCACATTTTATGAATACTCTACTTTTAACTTACTGAAAAAGAAGGAAGGGTTGAAAGAAAAAGAACTATGAGTTCTTCCATATTTCCCTCTCCTTCTATGTCATTTTTAGCATAGGTGGTTGGCCAATACTGGGAAGTAACATGAATAAGAAAGGATATGGTAAGCTTCCTTGATTGTTCGTGTTTCTTACAATGCCATTGCCTTCCTTTTTCATTCAAAGCAAATTCTTGTTTGAATGAAAAATGTGGCTTTTGGGGCTGTCTGCCAACTCCACAGTCATAGACCTAACATGCTTATGTTACACTCCCTTAGAGTTTCTCAGAAACTCCATCTCCTCCACCATCACCACCATCCTCCTACAAGCTGCCATCCTCTATCACTTGGACTACAGAAATAATTTACTGAGTAGTCTATCTGCATCCTGTAATCCATTCTACACAATGCAACCAGAGGGATCTTCTCAGTGCCAAATCTGATCATGTTATCCTCAGCAAAAAAAAACCCTTTAAAGCTTTGAGATCAAAGACAAAACTCCTATAGACACCTGTACATTTTTCTCCTACATTTTCCCCCCTAGTTTCAGTTTGCAGCAGCCTCCATATCAGTGCTCTCCATTCCTGAGTACTGGCCTCTCAGCACTTTGATTAGCCCATTTATTTAGACTCTTTTCTAGAGAACCCTTCCCCACCTCCATCCAGAGCCTTGTGGAGGAAAAGTTAAATACTAAATTTGAACTCAATTGAACATAGACACAAACAATGGTCACCAAGTCCTGGAACAGGTTGTGTGAGCCCCTTGAGGCATTCGTCCAGCACTGTTTTGGAGAAATCTCTATTTCAATCTATTCCTATATGTTAGTTGTTGAAAAACAACAGACAATCGCAAAAACAAGTTGACCTTTTTGTGTTCCTTGAGTCCAGTCGTGAAGGGGCCTCGTGACTGGGCCTCATGCCAAACAACTCATTACAAAAGGAGCTATGGTCCCAGACCACAACGAAGCTTCATGAGACCTCTCCTCATCTGTGCACGGACAAGTGTCTGACTCTGGAGCCCAGGCTGTTGCTTTCCAGTCTGGTGGTGAATCCTTCACAGTCTGGTGAGTGTAAATATATATATATCTTTTCCTTTCTCCTCTCCCCATTGCAATTTGCTTATTACATCCATTTGCTTATTACATCATTTGCTTATTATATCTGCATTGCCATTTACGTGGAATAAAGGTTGTTTACCCTTAAAGGGATTGTGTGTGTGTCTTTTCTTCATTGCTCGTGTGTTTCCGGCACAGAACACCCCTTCTTCACATAATGAAATTCCACTTATCCTGTAGATGAAAGTTCAAAAATCCCTTCCTCAAGAAAGCCATCCCTTACCTTGCTGACAAGGCCAACTATTCTAATTATTTCTCATAGAACCATCTACCTCTCCTTGTAGCACTCATCACAGTTGCACTTGTATATTTATTTTTGTTGTTATTTGATTATTATCCATCTTTTCTAATGTGTACATAGAAGAAAGAGAAGAAACCCCCTTCCTACATATATATTTTTTGTTTTCTTAACACTTGTTGTAGATGGTGATTGATCATTTATACAGGAGATTGCCTAAATAATGTATCTTTCGGAACAGACCATTTTTTATTTGTTCATTATTATTCTGCACCACCTTCCATACCTAGAACTTTTCCTGATACCTACTAGGAGCTTAACAATTAATCATTGAATGAAATGATAGCCAAGTTGATTAGACTTTTCCTTCTCAATTCTAAAGAATTGCTGATTTCAATGAGTGCCTAAGTAGCACTGGAAATAACATGTCAGGATGTCTGAACACTTCCTTTCTCCTTTGTCTTCTAGCTTTATCTTAGTCTCTTTCAAAATCTCAGTTGCAGGATGGGTATGCTTCTAGCACTTTGAGATGGAGAGTTTCACGGATTCCCATGATCTTGCTTTAGTGTGCTTATCTGCTTATCTCTCTTCATGTCCACTCACCTATGGGCCCTTTCCTTTTCTGTCTGTCACTTATATAGCTCATGTTCAAATCCCCTCTTCTCCTCTTCTTAGGCCAGTCTCATAATGTTTCCGACATCTGGTATGGTTTAAAGGAACTCTTGCCTGGAAATAGAAGTTCTTTCCAGACCATGATATAAATTTCTAGTAAAAGCAAATGAATGAATATATAGCAAGAAACAACAATTCACAAGGAAGTTGCCCTGGAAGTGGGCTGTTGTAGTAAAAGGAGGCATTTGCCTGTTACTGAGTCCCAATAGCCTGATCACTCTTGCCCAATCAGGAACTTTCTGTCACATTGTGCTGTTTGCCATTGCAGTGCTCAGCAGACTGAGGATTACAGTATGTGCATTGGCACTTGTTATACAGCAAGTGCAAACAGCTGGGTTTCTTGCTGTTCATGAGTGCCAAGATATTATTCCTCATAAGACTTTTTAACTGCTTTTGCAGTTAGTAACATCAGTGCCTGGGAAATCAAACATTTTATCTAGTGGTTTGTTAACTTAATGCTATTTTCCAGATGTTTTTTAGGGCTGTTCCTCCAATGTTGATTTGTGGTGGCGTTGATATTTTCTTTCTATAGCATTTTATTATTTTTGAGCAGTGATATTTAATTTAGTTTGGGGAAATGTCTTTTCCAAACTTTTGTTTCTGATGACACACAGTTATTTTGAATCTTGTGTCAATCCCACAAACTACAGGACTTGGCCTGATTATAGACATGACTAGACAAAAGAAGCTCTAGAAGAGCTGCCACACCAGACTTTCACTTTTATTGAGGTTACCACTCACACTGATAGATTACAGGCCCATGGCATTTTAGAGTCAGAGACATTCTTTACTCAGATCCCCTCTTTATTCACAACAAAATAACTGGAACTTATAGATGTCAAATAATTTTACCTTAGCCCACACAGCTAGCTGTTAGTAAAATCAGAACTATGACCAGATCTCCTAGGTACAGGGGAGAGGAAACCTTTTTTCCATGCTTCTCACCTGGAGGCGTATGTGTGAATCCCCTTACCCCCTTTAGTGGCCTGAGGATTCATTCATTGGCAAAGAAGTCTCCTGACAGCATTTTGAAGAGGCAGAACAAACTCCTGCTGCCAGTCTACAGGAGCCATCACTCTTTCCCAGTGAGCAGCTGGCATGTGGCCAGCCTTCCCTTTCTGCAGCTTGGACTGCTAAAGTATCACGTGGATGGAGCAGCTCTGTGCAAAGCCACTTTTCCAGAACTGTTTCCATGTCTCCACTCCCCAATCCATCCTTCTCCCCACAAGCTCTCTCCTACCACACAAACACACCAAGGGCCTCTTAAAGCTTTCTCCATCCATAGTGAGAGAGAGAGGGGGGAAAGAATCAAGTTTGGTATGCTGGAACATACATGTGAGGCAGAAAAGTTCTGAAAGTTGAGAGCAGCTTATAAATAACTCAGGTTAGATGTTGCCGATGATGGGAAGTATATATAGGAAACACCATCATTTAAAAAATGTATTCTTTGAAAATGAAGAATGACAGCATACAGACCAAACTCCCAAAAGCTTAACAGAAATTCTCATAAAACTGTAGGTAGACTTACATTATATTACACAAATTTTAAACTCTGGATCTGGGCCGAAAACATCACCTGCTTTAGGTCTTCAAATAGACACTTAAGAGCTATGGAATAGTACAATTGACCGGGAAAACACTTTAAGATTTGGTTGTAATCTACAGACTGTCAGCTTAGGGGTAACTGGTAAAGTAATTTGTGCTCTCCTTTTGTCCATTTTAATTGATGATATTCCTCTGCAGCAAGCCTTACAGGAGAAATCGAAACACAGCTGCTACATTGTAAGTCCACAAGTGAAATAAGCAGTGTCCAGTGGATAACAAGAAGGCTCCCAGAATAGCTCCTCAAAAAATCTGCCTTCTTCCTTTACTACCAAGAATCCTAACCTGTAGGCTCAAAGATGATTCAAACATTGAGGGCAGTGGTACTTGGGATTCAAAGGCACATTGGTGCAGAAAGGAGCCCATAGCATGCTGTTGACAATTTGACCAGGTGAGTCAACAATAGCAAAGAAGGCCTAGAATATGAGCTTTGAAATCCGAGTGCAAAGTCACCCCTACGAGAATATACCTGATTTATTTTGTTTGATTATATTGACACTTTTGCTATTTGTCATCATTTCAGCATGCATGCACTTAGATTTGTTAGTCCCACTGTCCTGTAACATCTCCCAATCCAGAACACATTAATGATCAGTAGACTGTGGCTGTCCAGTTTGGTGTCACCTTTAAGGGGCTCCTCTCTCCACGTAGGCCAGGCAAGACTTCACTGCACATTTACAGAACAAGGACCTTCTGTCTCAGATGCCTGACTCACCAGCTCCACTGCCCTGCATTCCGTTCTCTCACTCTCTTGGCTTCCAGTGTTGTTGCCAGTGGTTTGGGTCCTCACCCTACTCTTTCACCTCAATGCTTAATATAGCCATGTTTGGCTTTTGAATTTGCTTTTCCTCTCATCTACATTTTCATCTCTCCACCGTGGCTTGAAGTAATCACAATTTTGGGATAACAAAGCCATTCTATGCTTGGCTTTGGTCAGTCCCTAGAATTTACCAAGTCACAGCCAGGTGAGGTGGCTCACGCCTATAATCCCAGCACTTTGGGAGGCCAAGGCGGGCGGATCATAAGGTCAGGAGTTCAAGACCAGCCTGGCCAACATGTGAAACCCCGTCTCTACTAAAAATACAAAAATTAGCTGGGCGTGCCGCCTGTAATCCTAGCTACTCGGGAGCCTGAGGGAGGAGAATTGCTTGAACCCAGGATGCGGAGTTTGCAGCGAGCTGAGATCGCGCCACTGCACTCCAGCCTGAGCAACAGAGTGAGACTCCGTCCCAGAAAAAAAAAAAAAGGATTTACCGAGTCACTTCCTGCCCTTTGTTATGGACTCACCACCAATCTGTCCCAGCAAGGCCCAAATACTGTTTAAGGAGTGATGGTAGTGAGTAGCCTTTTAAAAAGTTTATTCAGGGAGGTTGAAATAAAGAGGTTGGACATGTAAATGGGGAATGAAACAATGGGTAAACTCACCTGTTCAGATTATTCAGCTATTCAGAAAAAGAATACATGCCTTAAGTCCTCCAAAGGAATACAATTTGATGGCATTAACATGTTGCTTTATTAAAATGTCCTGTATTTATTTGGCATATATATTCCATTTGCCTATTAAACTCTTAGCTTCTCAAGGGCAGAGATTGAACCTTCTCTTCTTTCCCCTGCTGAATAGACACTCAATTTTAATTTTAATTTTTTAATTTTACAAAAATTGAAATAGTGTCTCGCTCTGTCACCCAGGTTGGAGTGCAGTGGCACCATCATAGCTCACTGCAGCCTTGACCTCCTGGGGTAAAGCGATGCTTCTGTCCTAGCTCCCTGAGTAGCTAGGACTACAGTTGACATCACCACACCCAGCTAATTTTTAAAAAAATTTTATGGAGATGGGGTCTCACTATGTTGCCTAGGCTGGTCTTGAACTCCTCACCTCAAGTGATCCTCCTGCCTCAGTCTCCCAAAGTGCTGGGATGACAAGCGTGAGCCACCATGCCTGGCCTAGAGTCCATGTTTTAAAGTGACAGATTCATTAAACCAAGGCCTATATGTCTGAAGTGTGAGTTGTCGATTTGGGTATAGATGTCACAACCCATGTAGAGGGCAATTCCTGTGGATTGTAAACACGGTAAATCATACTGTGTGGCATTGTTTCCCCTACCTCCCCACTCAACCTCAAAACATGGACATTTTTATTCAGGTGAAATTCCATTAAAGTAAATTTGACTTTATCAAGATAACCAATATTGGGATCTTCAGTCAGTAAAACTGATGTCCGTGTATATTGTACCCGTGTGTATGTGTTTATGCATGGTAGTGTGGTGGCACAAGGCTGGGGAAAAATTAGTGACAATTATCAAAAGAAGACAACATTTAGCCTTTATTAGGGGTCTGAGGAAGCGGGGTGGGGGGATTGTCGTTGCCAGACCACTTATCTTTTCCCTCTTGCATTACTTAGTGAGTGGCTTTGGTAGGTGGAGACCTTAACAATACATTTTCCTCTCTAGCATGCTGTTTTCACTGTCTCTACTCTAGTTCAGGTCTTCATCAATCTCAGACCTGGATTATTGTTAATAGCCTACTCATTTATTTTCCTGTCTCTAGTTCTTCTTCTAATCCATCCAAAACACCCTTGTAAGATTAATCTCCCCAGAGTACAGGGCTGATTGTGTCAACTGTTTAGTCATAAATGTCCAGTCACTTTCATTTATTTAAATTCCCCATTTTTCCTTTGTTCAGCACCATCCACAGTCTAGCTCTAACCGAGGTTTCCTACTCATCTCCCAGTAGTATCTTCCTGTACATTCTCTTTCTGCTCAGTGGGGAGCTCACCGCTCCCCAACACCCACCATGCTTCTGCCCCTAGGCAGTTCCAAAGCTGACTGCCCTTCCCTGCAATGTCAGGCATCTGAATCACTCGCATCTTCCAAGGCCCAACTTAAAAACTACCATGTCCAAGGATCTTCCCTGAACAGCCCTCTGGAAGTGTTATCTGCCACCTCTGTTTTGCTGCAGTATATTATAGTTTTATATTTCTCTACTCTTTTTTTCATTCTTATTTATGTACCTGAACTGAGTGGTTAAGTGCTGTGGGCTAGATGGCCTAGATTTTAATCCCAGATTTGGTCATTTACATGATCTTATTTATTAGCCTTTTTAAGTCTTGGGTTATTCATTGTTAAATTGATAATAATTATAACTACCTCATACTTTCTTTGGTGAAGATTAAATGAAATAATGAATATAGTACACTTACCCCAATTCTATTTTAATTTTTAATTTTTTTTTTTGAGATAGAGTCTCGCTCTGTACCCCAGGCTGGAGCGCAGTGGTGCGATCTCGGCTCACTGCAACCTTTGCCTCCTGGGTTCAAGCGATTCTCCTGCCTCAGCCTCCTGAGTAGCTGGGACTACAGGCGCACGCCACCACACCTGGCTAATTTTTGTATTTTCAGTAGAGACAGGGTTTCACCATGTTGGCCAGGATGGTCTTGATCTTCTGACCTTGTGATTCACCCACCGTGGACTCCCAAAGTGCTGGGATTACAGACGTGAGCCACTGCGCCCAGACTAATTAATTAATTTTTTTAAGAGGCAGGGTCTAGCTCTGTCAGCCAGGCTGGAGTGCAGTGGTGCATTCATAGCCCAGTGTAGCATCAAAATCTTGGGTTGAAGCGATTTTCCTGCCTCAGCCTCCCAAGTGTCTAAGACTACAGGTATGTGCCACCTCTTATGGCTAATTTTTATTTGATATTTTTTGTAGAAATGGGGTCTTGTTCTATTGCCCAGGCTAGTCTCAAACTCCTGGGCTCAAGCAATCCTCCGGCCTGGGCCTCCCAAAGTGCTGAGATGACAGGTATCACCCATCACAACCAGCCTTAACCCAGTTCTGAACACACAGTAAATGGTTGAAAGTTATAAGTTATTGAGTTTGTTCTATTGTTATGTTTTAGTGTCCTTTCTAGACTCTAAGTTTATTGAGTGTTAAATCTGTCTCGATGGCAGGGGTCAGCAAACTTTTTCTGTAAAAGACAAGATAGTCAGTATTTTAGGTTTTGCTGGCAAAATATCTCTGTCATATATTCTTTACTCTGTCTGTCCCCTTTCTAAACAATCTTTTAAAATGTAAATTCATCCCCAGCTCACAGGCTGTAGAAAAACAGGCCACATACTAGCTGTGGTTTGCCAACCCCTGCTCTATAGTCCATAGTGCCTGGATCAGTGCTTTTCATGTAGACGTTAACTGAGAAATGTTGTCTGGTTAATTCAACAAGTGATTGCATGATTGAACTCTGTAGAAGTGACTGTGTTTTTTATCTTTTGCAAATGACTCCCTTTGCTCCTTTTCGCCTTGCACCATTCTAAGTCCTGAATATTTCCAGTGAGTCTGATTCTATGAACAAACTGGCTGAAGCCCCTAAAGCATGGGGCTGTGGGTGAGTTGTCCCTTCTACACAATGCTTCCTCTCTGGGTTGTCAGTTTGTTTCTGTTCCAATCTAGCCAGGGAGTTGTATGCTGAGTCAGGGAGCATAAATTATTCTGGGACAAAAAGTGGTGTGACTATTAGAACAATGTTAAATACTGTATTATTGCATTTAGATGGCAGCTCTTTATGTTTCTCCATGAATGTGTAAAATCCTTGCTCACACCCTGATTTTAATTGATGTCTGACAAATCCAGACTTACTGTGGCAAAAAAAATGACAATGTTAATATTAGCATAATTTTTCTCTTTGCTAACTGGATTTACATATCAACTCCTGGGATAGCATACATTATTTTTTTCTTTGTGCCTTGATTTAATCACAACAGCAACAATTACCTCTATTAGGCCTCTTTCTATAGATATATAGGAATATGGATGAGGATGAATGGCTTACTCTGAGAATTATTATTACTAAAATCTAAGCATTGGCTTTGCTTCCCTTACAAAGTATACATTAGGAAATAATTAGTATTACATAGTAAATTTGAAGCACAGACTTATATGTATCTTCACACTTATTTTAAAATACTTCTCTTTTATCTTTTCACAATGACTGTGAGGCTGATTATTGTTCTTATATTAGGTGAAATCTGTAACTTCACATGTTGGCTCACCAGAGCAATATTAAGAGAGATAATCATCAGCAATATCCACACAAATTGCATTCCTTAAAGCAAACCAATTGCTTTGAAGGTAAGCGAAATGATTCTTCACGGAGAAGTACCAAAATGTCCACTATGTGGTGCTGCTGTACCTGAATTACACAAGGAGGGTAAAACAGTACACTGTACCCTGAATTACACAAAAGAAGGTAAAGAAGTACACTGTACCCTTAATTACACAAAAGAGGGTAAAGAAGCACAAAGTAATAATAATTTCACCCACAAATTCATTATCATCATTGTTCAAGCAATTGTTATTGGGAAGACAAAGAAGAAAATATGTGATACTGAAATTATTACTATATGATGTAAAAGAAGCTATTTTTTTTCAACTTTGTTTCATATATGGAGAGAAAATTATCTTAGGAGAGAAGCTAATAAGTCAATGTGGGTGTTAATTTTTTGGAAAAACAATCAGAAAGAATACATAAACGGAAATTTTAGGGCATGCAAAAATTATAAATAAAGTCTGTGTGCATCTATATATACATACACACACACACATACACATAGAGAGAGAGACTTTAGCCAATGCTATATTTTAACAATGTTGAAAAACTTTTGGCTAAAATAACAATTATTAATCTGGGAATTTCATAAAAATTTTTTAGCAATCAGAATTTTACCAAATATTTTTCAGAATTTTTTCTGTAGCAATCAGAATTCTGTAGCAAGCCAAGTCATAAAAGAAAAAGAAAACCTTAATTTTGATTTCGACTCAAAATTCAAGCCCTATTTATTTTACTTTCAGGCCTATGGAGTAGCAATAGTTGCCAAAATACTAAACATAAGCTGTAAATTTTATGGACCATGCTTTCATTTACTTTTTAGGATTGAGATGTTGGAAGCTTTAGAATGTTGATTATGATGATACCCAAGACTCAAGTTTAAGAAGGAAAGGAAGCAATAAGATCATGCCTGCTATTAGTATAGTCGTCACAGTTATTGTGTAAAGGTAATGTGAAACAATGCAGAATATTTATGTTTTAACAGTTTCCATTTTATGCGACCTGTGGGGAATGAGAGTTATCCAAACTATATAGGCTGTGCCCCTCTTCCCTCCGAAGCAGCGAAGCCCGCGATGAGAACATTACTGCTGCTCTGGTACTTCCCTCTTATGGAACAAATTTGCAAAGTCTGTGGCAGTGATTCATAGTTCAGGAAAGACACACCTTTCAGAAGCAAAGATGAAGAAAGAAGGATGTTATATGTTTAGTCTTTGCTATTTTTACTCTCTGGTTTTCAGTTAAATTGTGACTTACAATTATTTGGTTATGGTGACCCATTAATTCACCAAACAGAAGCCCTATTTGAGTCAAAGAATCCTGTTTCCAAGCTTAAAAGAAAATGAATCTGTATGTTCTTATACTTTCCCTGTAATATGTTCTGTCATTTTACTAATGCTGAAAGTCTATCCAATAGACCTGGACTCATCACAAATAAAAATTTAGAGTTTCACAGAAATGGGTAAAGAGCAATTAGTATTTTCATTAAGAACTAACAAATATAAAGATCAAATTAGGGTTTTTTTTTCTTGGCCCTTGTTTATAATATGCACTAAAAATTACTATTGTACTTAGGAAGTATTTTTAATATTGAAGTTGACCTAAATTGTACTGAAATACTTGAACCTTCTGGTTGGGTCATATGGTATGGACTGTGTGCCACATAAAAATGCCTTTTATGTATTAATTGTGCCTATATTTCTTTAGCATCTGCCTCTCTCATTGGACTATAGACACCACAAAGACTGTTTTATGTCAACAGTGTCTATATAAATAGGTGCTTAAAATTTTTTGTAGAATCAACTGGCAAATGAATAAATGATGATAAACATTGCTGAATTAAATAAATGAAATATAAGCCAGGGCTAAATTCAACCTTAGTAAACAAATTTGTGAACTGTGAGCCATCCAGACTATTCCTAAGACTGAGTGTAGAAGTCCACTGGTAGGAGACTTCTACCAGTTTACATTTAAGATCTTAAGGAACTTACCATCTTGGTTGTTTCCTAAACTTTCTAGATCCTTAACTTCTACTGCAGAATACAGTTTTTAGCTTTCTTGCTTTCTTTTCTTTCTTTCTTTCTTTCTCTTTCTTTCTTTCTTTCTTTCTTTCTTTCTTTCTTTCTTTCTTTCTTTCTTTCCTTCTTTCTTCTTTCTTTCTTTCCTTCCTTCCTTCCTTCTTTCCTTCCTTCCTTCTTTCCCTCCTTCCTTCTCTCTCTTTCTTCCTTCTCTTTCTTTCTTTCTTTCTTTCTTTCTTTCTTTCTTTCTTTCTTTCTTTCTTTCTTTCTTTCCTCTCTCTCTCTCTCTTTCTCTCCTTCCTTCCTTCTTTCTTTTTTTTTTTCTGGAGTCTCACTCTGTCACCCAGGCTGGAGTGCAGTGGTGAGATCTTGGCTCATTGCAATCTCCGTCTCCCGGGTTCAAGCAATTCTCCTGCCTCAGCCTCCTGGGTAGCTGGGATTACAGGCGTGTGCCACAATGCCTGGCTAATTTTTGTATTTTTAGTAGAGATGGAGTTTTGCCATGTTGGCCAGGCTGGTCTCAAACTCCTGACCTCAAGTGATTCGCCCGTCTCGGCCTCCCAGAGTGTTGGGATTACAGGTGTGAGCCACCGCGCCTGGCCAACACCTTGTTTCCTGACTCTGCTGTTTCATGACAATAAACCCAACATTCAGATAACCAATAGCTGCATAATACTTTCCAATTTCATCTATGATCTCTAGTCTCACTAGATATGCCAGGTCCATGTCAATAAGCATTATTGTCACCCAGGCTGTAGCGCAGTGGCATGATCACAGCTCACTGCAGCCTTGACTGCTGGGGCTCAAGCGATCCTCTGCCTCAGCCTCTTGAGGAGCTAGGACCACAGCACATGCCACCACACCCAGCTAGTTTTTTTAAAAAAAATATTTGTAGAGACAAGGTTTTGCTGTGTTGCTCAGGCTGTTGTCGAACTCCTGGCCTCAAGTGATCCTCCTGCCTTGGCCTCCCAAAGTGCTGGGATTACAGGCGTGAACCACGGGGCCCAACCTTGTGTTTGGTTCTGTGCTAGTATTCTACATACACCATGATGTTTTATTCCTTTATGCCTTTATTAATTGTGATTTCACCACCTTGAATACTTTTTCCTTCCTTCTTTACTTGTGTAACTGCTATACATTCTTTAAGGCTTATCTCGGGCATTACTAGCTCCATAAATCCTTTCTTGAGGCACAAAGCTGGAGTCCCATAAGCTGCTAAACATAGCTCTATTGGAGAACTTAGTATATTTTGTTTTGGTACACATAAACATTACCTGTTTATACATCCATGTTTTCCATTAGATATGAGTTCCTCAAAGTAAAGCAATCAGAAGCACATTAAAGAGAAATACCTCCTATTTCCATTATCAAATATACAAACCTACTTGTTTCAGTATCCAAATACTCTGTCTTACTTCCAAGAGAAATGGATGGACAGCCATTGATTCAGCTAAGGCCGATTCATCTGTTTGGGCACTTCCCTTGCACTTGATTTACAGTTTGTCTAGGTATAGAATTCTACTTTGGAAATAGTTTTCTTTCAGGAGTTTGAAGCCATTGCTTCATTGTCTTCTTGCTTCCGGTGTTGCTAAGAAATCTAAATCATTCCTATCATTCCTTCTTTGTTTATAAAAAGAACTCTGTATTATAGAAAATTTAAAATATGTTCAAAGAGAATTATATGATGAATATATAATATAATGAATTCCCATGTACCCATCACTCCACAATTGTCAATGTATAGCCAGTTGCATTGCCTCTACAGCACATCCCCCACTTCTGACCTTTTAATTATTTTATTTTATTTGTTTATTTACTTCCTTTTTTGAGGCAGGGTCTGGCTCTGTCACTCAGGCTGGAGTGTAGTGGTGCGATCATGGTTCACTGCAGCTTTGAACTCCTGGCCTCAAGGAATCCTCCCACCTCAGACTCCTGAGTAGTTGGGATTATAGGTGTGCACCACCACGCCTGGCTAATTTTCTGTAGAGATGGGGTTTTGCCATGTGGCCCAGGCTGGTCTCAAACTCCTGGGCTAAAGCAGTCTGCCCACCTCGGCCTCTCAAAGTGTTGGGATTACAGGTGTGAGCCACCACACATGGCCAACTTTCAATTATTTTAAATCAAAATCCAGAATTACTCTGTTTTATTGTAAATATTCAGTATTTTTCTCTAAAAGAGATAAAGGATCATATTTCCAATCCTTTGCATGTAATTAGTTTTATTCTCTCTGAGAGTTTAGGAAATTATTTTTCTTCTTAGAGTTCTGAAATTTTATGATATGTCCATTGTGCCTGTTTTTCTGTGGGCCTTTTCTATCTGTAATCTCATGTTCTTTGCTTCCAAGAAATGTTCTTGAATTGTTTCATTGATGATTTCTTTGCCCCATTACTCAGATGTTGGACCTCTTAGAATGGTACTCTAACTTTCTTTCCTTTCTGTTTTTCATCACTTTGATTTTTGGTTCCACTTTTCTGACAGATTTTCTCAACTTTCTCTTCCTACCCACCTATCACAGTTTCCATTTCTGCTATTATATTTTAATGTCTTAGAGTACTTTTCTAATTTTCTGCATGTTTCTTTTTTGTGGTATCTTGTTTTTGTTTCACGGATGCAATATATTCTCTCTTTTCCTTTTTGATAACATATTTTTGAAGCTTCTCTGTCCTCCAAAGTTGCCTTCTTTTCTTTGCTTATTTTGGGTTCCATCTTCTTGATAGAGGCTTTCTTCATCGAGTGTCTAATTCCTTTGCTCTCTGCTCATGATCAGTAAAGTGTGAGACTAAAAAACTGATGGGCACACTGAGCCTGTGGGAAAGACTTAACTTTGATCTTCACTGAAGTGGAATCTGGGTGGGCCATTTGTAGAGGAACCTCTGCAGTTAGTATCTAGGTCTTGCTCTTAAGCAGGTCAGATTCTGCAGAAAAGAGTTTTTCTCTTTCCTTTCTGGAGGATAAAGCTCTGGCTGCCAGCATTCTGGGAGTCGGATTGGGGAAGAAGACTAGGGTTGTCTGCATTTAGCACTAGATGTGCGATCACCAGATACCTACTCTCAAGACATCCCTCCTCTGTTTCCTCTAGGTTGGGGTCAGGGATTTGGGAATCTAACTGCTTCTCAAACAACTTTACCCACATCTCCTTATTTAGAAACCTGTTTTTACACTCAGTTTTAGATTTTTCCAGTGTTGCCAGTTTCTGATCGTTTTGAAGACTATGGTGCAAATTATGTTGGTTTTGAACTTTCCTTGCTGCCAGCTAGGGATGTGGGTTTCTCAGGAGTGTTAAATCAGTTATCACACATTGGTTAGCTTGCCAACTTCCAAAATTTTGTTGCTGCTGCATCCTTTACTATTTTCCTTACACTAGTAGGTTTAGGTATAAAACAAAACTCATTTATTATTCTTCCGTGGGGTTTTAGGAGGGAGAAAAATAGGTGTGTATGTTCACATCATCTTAACCTGAAAGAGTCCCTCCTTTCCCCCTTTTTTAAACCTTAAAATCCCACAATCATTGTTTAATATAAAAGTGAACCCTGTTTCTCATGGAGGGCTTATTGGTAAGATTTCTGGTGGCCAACACAGCCACCGGGGCCTCTGAACTTCTTGGATTTGCAGTGAGGGGGTCAGCTGGCAGTAGGGGCTGGTTGTACTGGGTGAGGATGTCTTCAGTCTCCTTCTTGGAAGCCTCATCCATGTTTTTCTGGCTCTGGAGATCAACTGGCAGATTTTGTAAATCTAGGCCATTTGACCCATGGGCATACCAGTGAATTGGTCTTTGTCCAGAAGCAGAACAGATTCTGCTACTGTTGCAGTTTGCTTGGCTCAGTCATTTCCAGAGCCATCCGTTCACCTTGTTGAAAGTGTTGGCCTGTTTGCGGTGCACCAAGACCCACATAGACTGCAGAGGGCCCTTGGACAGCAGGGCTGCTGGTGAGGACAAAAGTGCCTACTGTGCAGCTCTGCAACCAGAAAAGGAACGGTCCCTTTTTGAAAATAACCTTCTTCCCTTGAATTCTGGGATTCCACACTTGCCTGGTTTTTTTTTTTTTTTTTTTTTCTTACCTCGCTGGCCACTCAATCAAAAATAATTATTTGAGAAATATTTTTTGGAGTGTTTTCTAGATGCTAGGAGCCATTTAAAATAAAGGCAAAACAATAGTGATCAAAATAGACAAGTTTCTCTCTCATGGGCCGTATATTTTCCCTTCTCTTTACTGGGTTCTTATTGTTTTTCTGGCCTCTAAGTTATATTGGGCTCCAAGGTATGGTCCCTATGCCTTTCCTTTTCTTCCTAAGTGATTTCCTTCAGTTTCATGGCTTAAAAACATCTATAAGATGATAACTCCAAATTTACATATTTACAACTCAGATCACTTTCCTGAATTCTAATCTCATATACCTCATTGTCTACTCAACATAATCACTTGACGTCTGTAGTGGCCTGACTGGTGGTGCCAAAGAAGATATTCTACTTTCTAATCCCCAGATCCTATGACTGCTAACTTATTTGAGAAAAAAAAAGGGGGGGGGTCTTTGCCTATTTAATTAAAGATGTTGAGATTAGATTATCCTGGATTATCCAGATGGAGACCAAACCCAGTGACAGGTATCCTTATAAGAGACATACAGAGGAAAAGACAGACACAGGAGAAAAGTCACTGTGGCCAGGCACAGTGGCTCATGCCTGTAATCCCAGCACTTTGGGAGGCTGAGGCGGGCGGATCACCTGAGGTTGGGAGTTTGAGACCAGCCTGACCAACATGGAGAAACCCCGTCTCTACTAAAAATACAAAATTAGCCGGGTATGGTGGCACATGCCTGTAATCCCAGCTACTAGGGAGGCTGAGGCAGGAGAATCACTTGAACCCAGGAGGCGGAGGTTGCGGTGAGCCGAGTTGGTGCCATTGCACTCCAGCCTGGGCAACAAGAGCAAAACTCCGTCTCAAAAAAAGAAAAGAAAAGTCGTTGTGAATGTGGAGGCAAAGATTAGAGTGACGTGGCTACAAGCCAAAGAATGCCAGGGAATGGTAATAGCCACCAGATGCTTTATTTGAAATGAAGATTGGCAATAATCTAAATGCCTGTCCATAGGACATTGGTTAAATAATTATAGCTCAGCCATTAAATGGAGTGCTGTGAATTGGTTAAAAATTAAAAAAAGAACAAGAAAGTTCTGTATATGTAAGAATGAAATCATTTCATTTTAAGTGGAAAAAGCAAGGTGCAGAATAGTATGCTACCATATAGATTTTACAAATCTACAAATGCATATTTGCAATTATAAACATAGACGCTTTGTAAGTATATACAAGAAACTGGTAACAATGCTTGACTTTGGTGGGAGGTGGGAGGGTTTGAGGAAAGGTTTGAGAATAAATCTTTTCCCTGCTGCTGAAGTTTTAGCCCACACACTTATTTGCTCTGTTTTATGTTTCTCTCCACACCACCTCCCCACTTTCTCTGACTCTTCTGTTCCTTCTCTCCACCCCCTCCCTCCCTCTTTCTCTTCTCCTCCTCCTCCTCCTCCTCATTCTTCTTTTCCCCAGCATTTTAAAAAGAAGTTTATGTTAAATTCAACATTTCTGGGTGTTTTTCAGGAGGAAGAATTTAAGGTTACATAGTTCATAATATTTAGAGATATTGAAGTCCTTATTATTTTTTAAACATATTTCTGCAAGTGGAAGCTGGGTAAAAAGGTCTGAACTTGTTAAAAAAAAATTGTGGAAGCGCATTGCCAAATTGGTCCTTAGAAGATTATACCAATTTGCATTCTCACCTGCAGTTAATGGAAATGCCCCCTTCCTTGAACTCTCATTGGCATTTGTGCTATCATTTTTTAAAATGCCAATTTGATGGGCCAAATTCATATCTTATTATTTTAATTTGCACTTTTAAATTATAACGAGTTGAATGTTTTTTCAAAGTTATATTGGTCATCTGATTTCTCTTTTTATCTTTTTTTTAAATAAAAATTTACACAAGAAAAGCATTGATCACATTCTCACCATATGTGATTGAAACCACAGAGGAAATACACAAATATATGATAACATGTGGTGTTAGGTAAGGAATCTAACTTTCTTTTTACAGAATTAACAAAATTTTAAACTAGTTATTTATTAAAAATCTACCCTTTCTCTATTGATTAAAAAAGCACTTCACTAATTCTAAATCTGTATGTATTTTGGATGTGTCACTGGATTTGGAATCTTTTTCATTGATCTCTCTGTCTAGTATCATGCCAGAATTAAGTTGTCTACATATTTTGCCCAATAGTTTAAATTCTTCTATTTATTCTTTTGTTACATAGTTTTGGGGTTGGAATTTTGAATGGAATTATATTACATTTATAAATGAAATTTGGGAGATTTGAAATTTTAAAACATCAATTATTTTCATCTGAGAACAAGGTATTTTGCTCCATTTATTTAGAACGTCTTTTAGATTATCCAATAAAATTTGTATTTTTCTTTGTGTCAGCACTGCATATTTCTTGTTAAGTTTACTCCAAGATATTTGGGATTTATAGCCCCTTCCCCAATGGTTAGGTTACTTTATTGTGTTCTTTGTGTCATATTATATGACTCAGTATCACTGTAGCTCCTGGCAGTACCCCTGCTGTCAGAATAGTTGATGTGAGCTTTGAATACCAAAGGTCTGGTGGATATTATTTATTCTTCTTGTGCTTGAATATGGCCACTTCTTATTCTTTTTACTCTTTTTGTTATGGCCTGTGGAGAGTTTACAGTGACCTACCACTGGACCAAGAACCAGAATCTGTAGTAGCATTCCTCATTTACATTTACAACAGTTAACAGGTTGGCTGCCAATTTTTACAGTGCCATCCCACAGTGTGGAGAGTATAGCATTTATGCTTGTGATCTCTGCTTGCATATCTAATTTCAGGCACTTCTTTTCTCACAGGACTTGTCCCCACCCAGGGCCCCCTGAAGAACCCTAGAAAAAAGTTAATTGCTTGCTTCCATTTGAACCCAGAGGCTTGCTACTGTATTTGTTAAATATCTACCTGATATTATAGGACATATAAAGAGCCTGATCCTGAATCAGACAATTTCAAAAACAAAGAGAAAAACAATAGCCTTTTTCTATTGAAGCTCTTTATGCCATAAGTGGGGAGTTGATTTTGTTTGAAGGTAAAATAAAATCTTATTAAAAAGTTGTTTTCCATTTTTTTCTTTTTTATTGTGGTAAAATACATATAAAATTGACCATCTTAGCCATTTTTATGTGTATAATTCAATAGTGTTAAGTATATATACATTGTTATGCAACTAATCTCCAGAATTTTTCATCTTGTAAAACACAACTCTGCCCATTAAACAGTAACTTTCTATTCCCCATCCCCTGACAACTACCATTCTCTTTTCTGAGTTTGACTATTGTAGGTAACTTTTTATAAGTGAAGTTATACAGTATTTGTCTTTTTATGACTGGCTTATTTAATTTAGCAGAATGTTCTCAAGTTTCATCCGTGTTGTAGCATGCATCAGAATTTCCTTCTTTTTTTTTTTTCTTTTTTGCTGGGGTGCTGTGGTGTGATCTTGGCTCACTGCAACATCCACCTCCCAGGTTCAAGTGATTCTCCTGCCTCAGCCTCCCAAGTAGTTGGGATTACAGGCATGTGCCACTATACCCAGCTAATTTTTGTGTTTTTAGTAGAGATGGGGTTTCACCATGTTGAACAGGCTGGTCTTGAACTCCTGACCTCAAGTGATCCATCCACTTCAGCCTTTCAAAGTGCTAGGATTACAGGCATGAGCCACTGTTCCTGGCCAAGAGAAATCTCACCATTTCTGTGGGGTTTTGTTTGTTTGTTTTTTAGAGATAGGGTCTCACTATGTTGACCAGGCTGGTCTTGAACTCCTGGCCTTAAGCGATCCTCCCATCTCGGCCTCCCAAAGTGCTGGGATTACATGCATGAGCCACCCCACCCAGCCTCCTTCCTTTTTAGGACTGAACAATATTTCATCCTATGTGTATATCACATACATTCTTTTTTTAATCCGTTTAACTGTTGATAAACATTGGGTTGTTTCCACCTTTGGCTATTGTGAATAATGCTGCTATGAATATAGGTGTACAAATATTTCTTCAAGACCCTGTTTTCAAATACTTTCTAAGTGTTTTACTAGATTTATCTTATTTGATCCTTACAACAACTTTATAATCAAAGTACTCTTAAGATCCCAGTTTTATTGATGTGGAAACTGAAGCATATAGAGGGTAAGTTATTGTGATTCTAGAACTCCTGTGTTTAACACCACTCTATACTGTTTTCCAACAGAAAATCTAGGTATCTTGCACCAAGAAGTGGAAAATAAAGAAGAGAAATGAGAACCATGTTTGTATTGGCTGTCTATAAAATAAGAGGTAGGCATTAACTTTTATCATTCACTATATTCAAAGAATAATACAGTAAAAATTATATTCAGGCTATATCTCTTCTGACAGAATGAATTCCAGCAGACCCCAGACTTTTTGGCACCAGGGACCAGTTTCGTGGAAGACAAACTGTGTGAGGCATGGTTTCAGGATGAAACTGTTCTGTCTCAGATCATCAGGCATTAGTTAGCTTCTCATAAGGAGCTTGCAGCGTAGATCCTCGCATGTGCAAGTTCACAGTAGGGTCCGCGCTCCTGTGAGAATCTGATGCAGCCACTGATCTGACAGGAGGCGGAGCTCAGGCCGTCATACTGTCCTGCCCGCTGCTTACCTCCTGCTGTGCGGCCTGGTTCCTAACAGGTCATGGACTAGTACCGTCAGTGGCTCAGGGGTTGGGGACCATTGAATTATAAATTTGAGAGCTCTCCTGATAATTCAGGAAAACAACTTGCTTTTGAGTTACCTATCAAAATAAATTTTATTCAGATGATTGCTTTGATATAAATAATCTAGTAAGGCTATTTTGTATTTCCAAAATTAAACTCTCAATTTCCTGTTTGTGTATAATGAAATAGATAAGATGCAAATTAAAAAGGAAAGAGAATGACTGGTCTGTGAAAACCTCATGAAACAGAGCTTCTTGTTTAAACTGTTACTATCTACAATTATTGCTTTTAAGGTATTTCTTATATATTAAAATATCCTGTATAATCATTTGAAATATTATTTTAGGAAGGAAAAATGAGTTTGAACAATAGACTCTTCATTGTTAAATAGCCCCTGTGGGAGATACGGACAGCCTGGTGATGACTGTCACCCCATGGCGTGCATTCCTGTACTATTGATTCGACTGTGTCTTAACTTGCACATATTCCACATATGCTTTTGCAGCACAAATTCCAAAATCTCATGAGAAATGTAAAAATGTGTGCTGGGGACTGTTTCTTAATGGGTTGTCTATAAAGTAAGCGTGTGTGTTGCATATATCTTGATATTTTTTCTTTTTCATTTTTTTCAACTTAGCTGCACATTAAAATCATCCATCTTCCTTGGTCTCAAAACACGGCTGTATTTTCAGGATCAGGAAATAAATATGTTTTTGTTTCCTGCCCCCAAAATAAATTATTTGAGTTGTTTTTCTAGGCTGAATTGTATTTCACTTCCTTTTAGATTTCTTTTACCACCAGACATTTTTTCAGTTAGTGTAAAATTTATACCCAGTAAACACATTTCTTTCAAAAATGTCAAGTCCTTTCTAAAAACAGACACTATTTAATACTTGTTCCACAAAATTATCCTCAAGATAGATGGAGAATGTTTTACCAAGTCTGATTAGTTTTGGTTGTACAAAGATATATGTAGTCATGAATAAATAAAGAACATATTTGAGGCAATTTAAAAATCGTCCCAACTTAAAAATAAGTAAAAGAAAACCTTGCTACTGAGAAAAATACAGAGATTAGAGGTGACGTTTTTATAATTGTTACTCTACTCTGATCATATTTATATGATGGGGTTTTAGGGTGACAGTACTGGAATCTCATCACAGGGATGTCGATGACAATATCTTAAGTTTAATACATGGCTTTTGGTTATGTGACAGGAACTCAACTCAAATTTGTTGAGATATGAAAGTGATTTTATTTACTCACTGAATCCAAGAAAAGGTTGAACAGGCAAAGCTGTGGCTTGGGCCTCAAGAAAAATTGGAACCAGGTCTTCAATTGCTGTCAGCACCTTTGTCTCTGTTTCTTTCTCTGCAAATTTACTCCATCCCTGTCACTGTAGACCAGATTCCTCCATGTGGCAGGAAGCATGGCCCACTGACAACTGCCTGAGTCCTCCACTGTTAACCACTGTACCAGACACTGCTGCTGCCCTAAACATGTGCCCTCGGCCCATCTCTGAGGTCACTTGTTGTTGGAGAATTGTTCATCTATGGGTCCCAGGCCTTCTACCTCAAGCACCTACATCTTTCTGCCTGAGGACGTTCTCTGGCTAGGGGCTGGGGGAAATGGGCTGGGATGGTAGGACAAAAGTGCCAGGTGGTTAATAGGCCCAGGAGTAACCCTCAGCCACAGATGATGGGAATGTGTGCATAAATACGTTTCCTTATACTGCAGGGAGTGCATTGTGAGTTTTGTTCTATAGGCCTCTTAGAGGGTGCCCAGCAGGACTGAACATCTTTTCTTATTGCTTTCTCCTTTCCCTTTCTCACTTCCACACTCTCTTACCATGCTTCCTGGGATCAGCTCCCAAATAAACTGATGGAATCCAAATCCTTGTTTCAGAGTGAGATTTTGAGATAATCCAGACAAGGACAACCACCAAAGAATAACAGGTTTGGGTTTCCTTTGTGACCCAGTGTAAAATCGTGGAGAAATTGTTAGATTGGCTCATCTTAGGTCGAGTGTTTACCCACAGCCCAAGCAGCTGTAGCCATGTCTTGTAAGGACATGGCATTCACATGGCTAGAACACGGAATAAAATATTCTGAGTCAGAGATAAAGGGAGAAAGAAAAGGAGCAGGTTAAAAACACAGGAGGGGCCGGGCGCGGTGGCTCACGCATGTAATCCCAGCACTTTGGGAGGCCGAGGCGGGCGGATCACGGGGTCAGGAGATCGAGACCATCCTGGCTAACAGGGTGAAGCCCCGTCTCTACTAAAAACACAAAAAATTAGCCGGGCGTGTTGGCAGGCGCCTGTAGTCCCAGCTACTCGGGAGGCTGAGGCAGGAGAATGGCGTGAACCCGGCAGGCGGAGCTTGCAGTAAGCCAAGATCGTGCCACTGCACTTCAGCCCGGGCGACAGAGCGAGACTCCGTCTCAAAAAAATAAACAAAAACAAAAACAAAAAAACACACACAGGAGGATATTATTCACAGAAGATAGGATATATTGGGACGGTGAATTGGTTGGGCATATAGGACAATAGATATTTACCCATAACGTATTTAATAGAGTGGTTTATAAAAAGTTTGTTCTGATTCAACGTTTTTTGATAATTTTATTTTAAATTAATTTCAAACTTCATAAAAAGCTGCAAGAATAGTCAAGGAACTCTAATATGCCTATCGCCCAGATTTACCAACAACTTATGTTTTGCTTCATTTGTTTTTATAATTAGCTCTCTCTGTAAATGTATATATACATCTACACACACATATATGGATACAAATAACTCCATATATACAAATATATATTCATGTGTATTTTTTCCTGAACCATTTCAGAGAATGTTATTTTATTTTACTTTATTTTAAGAGACAGGATCTCACTGTGCTGTTCAGGCTGGTCTTGAACTCCCAGCCTCAAGCAGTCTTCCTGCCTGTACCCCACTTGTATCTAGGAAGAAACGAACTTGCTTTTGATTTTACAGGCTCATAGGCAGAAGGGACTTGCTTGTCTTAGATGAGACGTTGGACGGTGGACATTTGAGTTAATGCTGAAATAAGTTAAGACCTTGGGAGACTGTTGGGAAGGCATGATTGGTTTTGCAATGTGAGGACATGAGATCTGGGAGGGGCCAGGGACAGAATGATATGGTTTGGCTGTGCCCCCACCCAAATCTCATCTTGAATTGTAACTCCCATAATTCCCTCATGTTGTGGGAGGGACCCAATGGGAGATAATCAAATCATGGGAGGTGTTCTCTCATACTGTTCTTGTGGTAGTGAATAAGTCTCACAAGATCTGATGGTTTTATACGGAGAAACCCCTTTTGCTTGGTTCTCATTCTATTTTTTTGCCTGCTGCCATATATGTAAGATGTGACTTGCCCATCCTTGCCTTCCGCCATGATTGTAAGGCCTCCCCAGCCATGTGGAACTGTAAGTATACCTTATATTATGTCTAGCTCTGAGTAGACTAAAACATAAAAGAGAATGTTCATTGATTTAAGCTAGACAATACAGTATCATTGGATTGTGGATATAATCAAAGTGTCAGTGATGAATTTTTCAAATCATCCTTTTTTAAAAAACAATACTATTCAAAGGTGGTCTGTAACCAAAACTTCTATACAGCATGTGGATACGTTGAATATATCATAGATATTTATAGCTAGGTGGAACTAGAGATTATTTAGTGCATTGTACAGAACAAAAACTTTAGATGTACTGAACTTAGGAAATTTGACTGTGGTAGTCCACAGAAAGTCAAGAGTAGATCCCACATCCTCCTGATATCCTGATCCCTTGCCCAGTGTGCTCTTTCAATCCTGCCCCAAGTCATCAAAACTATGCTACCCACTGAAGCTGTCATCTAGATTCCTATTTGTGATTTGGTGATAATGCAATTTTCAATGTAGTTGATTAATCTCATTATCAAATGAAGATTTACCTGGAAAGTTTTTACTTTAAGGGCTACTACCTAACAAATGATACTAAAAATTAAGCAGCTCTTCTGTACCTCAAAACATTCTGCCAATAGAAAGCCCTCCATATCTCAATGAACAACTGTTTTAATACCTTCATTTCTGATGTTTAGATTCTTATATTTTAGTTATTGTTTTTAATTAGAAGAAAAGGAGTCTCCACTCATTATATTAATTTAAGAGCAATGCACTTCAAAGGAATGCAGATCCATTCCTCTCAGTTGTGACAAAACAAGGGAGAGCAGAGCTCTCTCTTTAACAGGAAGATGTGGCTGAAAGGTCTTCTGGTGTAGTGGGAAGCACAAGTGCTTTAGAGTCAGTCAAATGGAGTTTCAAATTCCATATCAGTCAATATTTGCAGTATGGCTTGGGCACCTTAAGCAACCATTCTGAACTTCAGGTTCCTTATCTGCGTAATAGGAGTAATAATATCAATTATTTAATTCTCTCTGCTGCTGTAAGCACTTACCCTTCTAGATGACAGAAAATGTATTTTAAAGTCTCTGATGTGGTGTCAATGCTCAATGGTCTATTTTAGCAATAATTTTCAACTGGGTAATTGTCCAAGACCTGTGCTATGAGTAGATAGTCAGAAGCATCATTATAGGGTGAGGAAGCTGATCCTATCAGCTGGTGCTAAAAATCATTCAAGACTGTTATAAACAGTCCATACAGTTAGTTACCTTTTAAATTTGCTTTGCTCCAGGTTTGGGACTAGCAGTTAGCAAGTGTTCCCCTCTTCTCCCTTACTTCTGTGACTGGTTAGTTGCATTAAAAAAACCCCAAAACCAAAACAAAAAACAAAAACCAAAACTTTCTTCACTCTTTAAAGTTGCCCTAGATTTTTTACTTTCATAGGTTTCACCAGCATAAGAATGCTTTGGGTTAGGGGGTCCTTACAGCAGGACTTGTTCTGCACTCCCCTTGGGTGGCCAATGCTGTGATTATGTACCCCTTTCCTTTCTTAATTGAAAATGTGACTTAAGTGTCACCTGTATGTTAGTGAAACTAGACATGTTACAGAGGCTTCTTGAAATGTAAAATGATCTTTATGCTTTTTGCTTTTGTATTAGTTTTCTCATCTCTAAAGCAAATTAATAAAATAAATTTCACAGTGTTTCATAAAAACATTTCTTCCTGGGTTAGAGTCAGTAATGTCAAGTTAGGCATGAATTACAAAGTTCTGAAAATGGGACCTATAATGAAAACTGCAACTCAACCATGTAAACACAGCTTTGAACATGTGAAACTATGATACAGATTCAGTCACTGCCTGAATAGATTTCTCTACTTTCAAGTCCTGTGGAATTGTTCTTCTCTATCCTTCTTTTCCTGTCTAAACAGAAAATTTACCAATTGTATTAGCAGTTATCAGTATGAATCAGCTGCTTTTGAGCCTGATAATTTTCTTGGAAAAATGTTTTCATAGCAATTTGCCCAGCACATGACAATCATAGAATTGCTAATTTGGGAGGAACAGGGAAGGTCACCAGTCCAACCTCCCAGTTGCAGTAGTCATTCCCTATTCAGTTTCTGAGAGATGGCTAACTAGGCTCTAGATCATTCAAAATGATAAAATAAGTCATTCTAAGGAAAAAGGTGAGTTTCTGTATTTTGGGCTTTACAGTCCTTTCTACCTCATTTTAATCATCATTTTCCAGAAACAGAAAATATAAAATGAAAGCAAACTGGACGCTGTATTATAAACATGCACATGGGCATGCACACCCTCACAGATGCTTAAAATATTAATTAAAAGTCTGGTGGTGAGACTGCTGAGCCTGATAATGAGGACTGGACATTTTACAAACAGCAGTCATGTGCTAGATGCAATGGCATCTCACAGCCAGGTGTGATTTGTGTGCTCTAGCAGGGAGCTCTCAATCATAAGCCACACAGTGGTTCAGTCTCCTGGTATCTTTATTTCAGAAAGAGCCAGCAGGTGACAGGAAAGCTGTAACAGCTGAAAATAGAACCAGATATGATAGAAAGTAGAAGTAGATTTTTTGTGGCATATTGTAAGCTTTATTTCTTGGTAGTCTTATATAGTAGGAAATTTTGTTTTCTGCCTGTCTTTTTTATCTGTCCCTTGGGGAGACACTTTGATGATCAGTCCTGGTCTCATATTGAGCCTTCCAGCCAAAGACTACTGCTCATGTTGGGCTGCAGTTCCTGCTAGTGCCTCATTTCACACACGGATTGGTGTGTGAGGTGGAGGAATGACCCCGGAGAGCCGGGAGAGAACAGCTGTCTGCCACATAGCAAACAGGGACGGCTGCGATCAAGGCCAAGCTGAAACACATGGCGGGCTGCAAAGCTTTCAGAGCTGCTGAAAATTGAATCCTTCCTTCTAGCTCCTGACCCTATCAAATCACAATGCAGGAGTTACTCTTAAGAAATTAGAGTTCCTAATTTTTATTTTACTCCACACATTTGCTTCTGATTTTACTCATGGTAACCAAAAGAAGACCTAAAAAGCAAAGAGATTAATGTTTTGAGAGGTTGAGAGCAAATGTCTCTACTGAAACCTCACTTGTGCTAACCAATAGGCACTCACAGAGTTCAGTTCTGTTTTCCACAGCTTGAGTCTCTCAGTGCCAACCTTTTGAATGAATGCTGTTACGCTATCTATTACTAACCATTGAGCCTACCTTATGGTTACTGTTTATTATATACCAGTGGGTCATAAAAATGAAAGATTAAGGTCACTATATGTTTATTTGCCATTGGAGATGACTTTAAAAAAACAAATTCAGTGGCTGCAGAAATGAAGTGTTTAGTCATTCCTGAGCACTCATGTGGCCAGAGCAGCCTGTTTACCAGGTTTTAGACACTGACTGCTTTCAGGACTCAAGAAATTCTAGCAATTAATGCTTGTTTAGGGTTGTTCCACCTACTTAGCAGGGCGATTCTACCCATCAGCCACGGTTTATTGACAATCCTTTATGTGCCAGACACTCTACTAGGTACTTTGGAGAATTACAAAAGAAGAAGGCACACATTAAATTGTAAACTCCTCAAGAGGAATTCAACCAGAGAAACATAAATAAATAGATACCTGTAAATGTGAGTGACAAAATAAAAATCAGTTCTATTCCCTTGAGTGTACTCGGTGCCTTTAGTAATAGATGTGTTACTCCCATACCATGGGCACTAGGAACAGATACTTTTAGGAGTTCAGGAAATAAAAATCTTGTGTTTTTTCTCTCTTGTCCCCAGAATGGTAACTGTAATGCCATAGTTTCACAGTTCGTAATTAGTAAAGTATGCAACACAGTTTTGACTGAAAAACAGCAATGTTCTCAAGTATCAGAAATGATGCTTGAATTTGGCAAAGTAGTCAGTCCCAATTATGTAGTGAACATGCTCTTTTTTGGAACTAAATGGCTAGGAAAGCATGTGTGGGGTTCTGAGGATAGACTTTGTGATGCCACGGATCTAAACTAGGCTTGTCAATTTAGTTAATTCACTTAAGAAACACTGATTGAATGCCAACTACCTGCCCAATTCTGTTTTAGATTTGCAGGATTTAAAAATGAATAACAGAGAGGACTTTTTCTCAATGAGTTCATAGTATGGGTGTATATGGGTGAAGGGGAGAAGCTTGGGTGGAGTGCAAGTAAGCAGAAAATTGTATTACCTTATGGCAATTGCTATAGTGATTTTTATTTTCTACTGTGATTTTGTAGTGGGGTTCAGAAGGTTGGCAGCTGGCTTTTGGATTAACACCTCTAGTAAAGTAAAGGAAAATCTATAGGTACTTAAAAATCAAATCAAAATTATTGACAGGCTCAGGGAAAATGCCGGCTTCAGCCCTGAGTGGCCACAGTCCCTCTAATAAATTCCAGTCTTCTTTATGGAATTGGTTAACCCCTTTATTAAGACCTCTCTTGCTTATTTGTCTTCTTGTATTGATATTTGGACCCTGTATACACAATACTATACCTCAAATTGTTTCTTCTCGCCTAGAAGCAAACTCCAAATGGTTCTGTAAACTAACTACACATGGACATGCCATTCTTCGGAGGACCCTTAGATCCACCCTAGGAGGAGCCCTAGCTGCTGTTCCCCATTTGATGCCCCTTTTCAGCAGGAAGTAGCCAGAAGGAGTCGTTGCCCAAAACCCCCTAACAGCAGTTAGTGTGGCATCTCCACATGGGGGAATGTTGTAGGAGTTATTAAGAAATTATTTTAGGCAGATAGACAGGAAAAGGGGTCCTTGGGAAGTTTTCTTTTTTGTTTTTTCTTTTTTGTTTTGAGATGGAGTTTCCCTCTTGTTGCCCAGGCTGGTGTGCAATGGCACGATCTTGGCTCACCACAACCCCTGCCTCCCAGGTTCAAGCGATTCTCTTGCCTCAGAGTTAAGAGAATCTCTTGCCTCAGCCTCCCGAGTAGCTGCCTGGGATTACAGGCATGCACCACACCTGGCTAATTTTGTATTTTTAGTAAAGACGGGGGTTTCTCCATGTTGGTCAGGCTGGTCTTGAACTCCCGACCTCAGGTGATCCGCCTGCCTCAGCCTCCCAAAGTGCTGGGATTACAGGCGTGAGCCACCGTGCCCAGCCCTAAGTTTTCCTTTTTTTAAAGCATCTCCGCAAAAGTTTCTTGTAAAGCCCTGGCTCTAGAGCCAGGCTGGCAACCTTTGATATGCAAACGCCAGCCATTAGAAACTGGGTCCACCCAAACATGGCGATTCCAGTGGCCTTCTTGCCCTTTCCCCACATGTTTTTGGCAACATGGCCGCCCCCACGTATCCCCACGTGTGTAGAACGTCACGGTGCCCTGCATTTGTATATTAAAAGGCTAGGGCAGGAGGGCCAGCTTTTTCGCGGGCTATGTGAATGACATGCCTAGTCAAACCAATCCCATGGACCCTATGCAAATCAGACACCGCCTCCTGCAGCCTCTGTATGTACACCTAGCTGGTATCTGTGGCAGGTGGGGTTCCCTCTCTCGGCTTTGGAGCCCCCCTCCCTCTGTCTCTGTACAGGGGAGCTTCTTCCTTCTCCCTTCCTTCTTGCCCCTTCTTGCCTGTTAAATTCGCCTCTCGTTAAATTAAAAAAAAAAAAAAAAAAAAAAGAGGTTGGCAGCTGTGCTGCCACTAACATTTCTGGGGGCTGGGGAGGGGGGATTTTGAGAGATGGTTCTGTTGCTGTGTATAAGTGTTGTGGGTCAGAGACTTAAGGAACAAAAAGAGTTATGCTGTCTCCTGGAATTCTAAAATTCTGGGGCAGTGAATTCTCAGGCATGACCATAAGGTGGAAGAGAGTCTGTAATAATCATTGTCAGTGCCTGGCCTATTTCCTTTCTGGCTTGTCATTGTAATTCACTACTATTGCTGGCTTCTGACAACCTGATCAAGGTATCCTCTGGCAACATGGGCAGGCTGGGTAAGCCAGGAATCTAATGACCCCTTCCCAGACCCCCAGCCCCACCAGTAACTGATGGGAGGAGGTGTATGTGTCCCAGTTCTTTCACTTCTCTGGTGGGATAACTCTGAGACTTGACACGCAGAGTTTCAGAGAGCAATTAAGTTCCAGTTGCCCAGAGTGGGTGACACAGCCAGAGTGAAAACACATCTTAATTAGCTGACTTTTCTTCCTCGTGTCTCATTTCTTTCTTTCTTCATTGGGATGACATCCAAATCAACTGCAGCACTCAAAACTTTGTTTCAGAATCTGCTCTAAGGGGAACCTGTCTTTGCAAAAAATTGTTCACTGACATCCTGGCTGAAAACTAACTCAGCTGGTGGAAGTTTTTGGATGATCCTAGACAGCTGGTAAGGGTGGTCTTTATCAACCCCTCTTCTCAACTAATCCAATTTTTTTTCTCTCCTGAGCCTAAATAAGATAAAGAATGTCCAAAGGTGAATGGCTGTGGATAAATATTCATGTTCTCAGCCTTACCCATAGACTCCTGCTGACCTAGGCTGATTTTCAGGTTTGTTATGTGTAATTGGGTAAATTCCATAATGTGTAAGTTTGCCCTCTTGGCTATAAATATAAATAGGTCTGGAGTGGGCCAGTCTATGAGTTGACTTACATGAGGCATTCATTCATTCATTCATTCAAAAAATACTTATTATGTGCCAAGCCCTATACCAGGCATTGTGAATGTAGCATTAAACAAGGTAGATTTAAACTCATCCTTTATTAGGCTTTGAATGCAAAGCTTATAGAGATGGCAAAAATGAAATTGTTACAGGATTCTTGGGTGTCACTTCACCAGCTAGAAACCTCTGTGGCCAGCTGTGCCTTTGCCTGAGATTTGCTCAGGCCCACTGGGACCACTCAGCCTGAAAGGCTGTGCTTGGCTCGTGTTACTGGCCTGGATCCCATGCCTGCCAAGGATGAGTGGAGTGGTGAGAGGTATGTGAGGGAGCAAGTGTGGGGTCTGGTCACTGCACACAGCCAGGCATACTGGCTGCGGTGGGGCGGGCAGCTTCAGATGCCAGCATGAGCGCCAGCTCCCTGTGAGGCTGTGGCTGGACTGGGCACCCTGCAAGCAGCTTCCATGGCTGGCACGGGGGGACATGGTGGCACCTGGAAGGTTGGGTGAGGCTGTGGCTGGATGGGGCATCCTGCAAGCAGCTTCTATGGCTGGCATGGGGCAACACGGTGGCGCCTGGAAGGTTGGAGATGTCAGGAACTGCAGAGCCCCAAAGAGAGTGTCACAGCCCTGGCTTGGGGAGCTCCTAGGTCTGGGCTTTCTGAAGGGCTGCAGCTTTTCTCTTTTTTTTGTCACCCGCAATATGGTGAGCAAGGGGCATGTTTCAGCCCTGTCTGTGTTACAGCTCTTTCATCCCTGCCATTTGGTGGGTCTCGCATTCTTGTCTTGCACCCAGGAAGAATGAGGTATGTGGACAAGTTGGAGGGTGAGCAAGGTGAAGAGGAGCTTTATTGAGCAATGGAACAGCTCAGAGGAGACTCACAGTGGGTAGCTGCTCTCTGTAGCCAGGGTGTCCTGACTAGTGTTCAGCCCTTAACAGAGAGGAAACCCTGCAGTGGGCAGCTCCTCTCTGCATCTGGCTATCCCAATGTCTCCTGATTCTGGGGTTTTTATGGGCTTCATAAGGGAGGAGGTGCATGCTGATTGGTCCATGGGTGGCCATGGGCAGGCCAGAAAAAGCACTATAAGTTCCCATTTCTGTCCTTGGGCTGGCAGCCTGGCCTCCAAGCTTCAGGCCTTCCCTGGCTTGAAGGTGGGGCTTCACTGGGGACCCATCCCTTTTCATCCAGGAGCCTGTCTGCCTTCTGCTGCTGTTCATGGTGCCCAGGCTGTTCATGCCAAGGGGTGCCTGCAGGCCCATGCCAAGCTGCCCTTACCCCTGACTCAGTCTCCCTCTCATGCTCATTGGTGCCCAAAGTCCAGAGTGGGCCGAGGTGGAAGGAAGCTGGCATGTTAGTGCTGCTCCAAGCACGCACACACGCTGCAGAGAGATTGTCCAGATTGTCACAGCACCCAGGCTCAGCCTCAACTTTGCTCTGAGATTGAAGTGGGTGCCGGGAGCAGGGAGAGGCCAGGCAGCAGGAGCAGGCATTTCTGAGCCTATGGGGGCAGGGGGTCTTCCTGGGCCCCCAACAGTACAGAGATGCCCAGGTCCGCAGCCATGACTTGGGTGGCTGCAGCTGCACCTGGGAGGGCGGGGTTCCTGCCTGCTCCCAGACCCCAAGAGCACAGGGAGACCTGGGTCTGAAGCCATAGCTGGGAGGCTGCAGCTGTGCCCAGGGAGTGTGAAGCTCCTGCCCTGCCAACACAGAAGGGGGTGGGGCTTCCACCTGTTCCCAGTTCCCACCGGCTGCATGAAGTGCACAGCCCCAGCTGTACCTCCCACACTGCAGCCAACGTCATGACAGTGGCCACTCTAGACAGGCTGCTGCTGCCATCAAAATGGTGGCAGAAGCTGGGAGGTATACAATAGTTACATTACACGGAAATACAGAAGCTATGAGAAAAGGAGAGTAGAGACCGTTTGGTAGTAGAAGGAGAAGCTGAGAGAGACATTAATAGAGGCAGAGATGAAGACTTGCAAGGTCATGGTAATGTTACAACACTAGATTTTTGGGACCCATGAACCTGCTGATGAGATGGCAGCAAAGTAACTGGGTTGAAAAGCTTCACTGGGTTCCAAAAGCTTCACTGGGTTCCAAGGATAACCCAATTTCCAAACTCCATTCTGTGAGCTGCCTCTGCTTTAGGTACTGTTCATCCATGTCTTTGGGATCTGAGATTCTGGTTTCTTATTTTCTGATGTATTATAATTGTTATTATTTTTACAACAGAACTTCATTAGTTAAGGAACCTGTGAGTGAATTCTTTTTCATTTTATAGCTGATTAACACAGAACTGTGAACATGAAATTTAATTCTCGCTTTTAACGGATGATGAAACTGAAGCCCAATGAGGCAAAGTGATTTTCTGTTGAAGTAAAAACTCTGACTCCAAATTCACAGCATTTTATATCTATCAGAACAAATAATAGTAACCTCACTTACTGTGAAGAGGCCCAGAAACAAGGCAATCTTAGAATAGCCAGCATCCTAAAACTGACATTTCATATAGTTTTCAGAGGTTCATAAAAATCCTGTACATTTCACTAGATTTTCACCGGTCCAATTCATATTTATCAGTGCAATCCTCCAATCGTTCTTTTTGTTTTTGGTTTGTTTTGTGTTACCCTACATACATTTAAGTCAGTAGTATCAGGTTCACCTGGGAAATTGTCAGAGATGTAAATTAACAGGCCCCATCCAAAACCTACTAAATCAGAAATTCAAGGTTTGGAGTTGAGCAGTTTGTTTTGATGAGCTCTTCAGGTAATTCTGATGGCATGCTAAAGTTTGAGAGTCTTTTCTTTAGGCTAAGAAAATGTCTGGATCCACTTGTAGCAAATATTTTCCTATAAAAAAGTTTTTAAAGAAGAAACAGTATATTATCTTAAAAATTAATCTCTCTGATGCTTTTTAGGCCTATTTTTGCTGGGTTTTTTGGTTGTTGTTTGTTTTTTTTTGTTTGTTTTTGTTTTTTTTTTTTTGAGACAGAGTCTCTCTCTGTCACCCAGGCTGGAGTGCAGTGGCACGATCTCGGCTCACTACAAGCTCTTCCTCACGGGTTCACGCCATTCTTCTGCCTCAGCCTCCCAAGTAGCTGGTACTACAGGCGCCCGCCACCACACCCGGCTAATTTTTTGTATATTTAGTAGAGACGGGGTTTCACCATGTTAGCCAGGATGGTCTCGATCTCCTGACCTTGTGATCCACCCACCTCAGCCTCCCAAAGTGCTGGGATTACAGGCGTGAGCCACCGCGCCTGGCCTATTTTTGCTGCTTTTATTGTTGATGATGATGATGATGATGTGTGTTTGTGTTTGTATCTGTGCGTTTTTCAGTTCTAGGTACATGAAATCCACTGGTGTGCTGGTAAATGTTTAATAACCAGTCCTCTGGAAAGGAGAAAGTTGAAGACCCCATTTATACATTTGCTCATTTCTGTGGTGTAAATACCCTGAAAATAGCTGATTTCGAGCTATCAACATTACTGAAGATGGAGCTGGGAAGAGGTGAGCATAAGTGACACTCAAAAGTCAGTACTGGCTGTACTCATTACTTTGGATTCCATAAATTTAAGCATAAAGTTTGAGATTGAGTTGTTATACTTAAATGTTAGTTGAATGAATTGTGGACGAGTAAACTAAGACTATGGGACTGGAATTTTATTTTTTGGGTAGGGAAAAATTTAGTGTGAATAAAGACTTTAACATCTCAGAGTATTCTTCCTGGATTTTAGTGAACGTCACAAAAGTAACAACAGAAAGAAAATTAAGAATGCATTTATTGAGAATGTATTCTTTAAATAGCACTCTTTATTACATACTGTAACAAATCAGGCTATTTAAACACAGGCTGTTTTCAGCATAGCACTTTATGGCAATAAAACACTTTGCAAATCAATTTTATTGTTCCTCTCTACAACCTCAAGAGGTAATAGATATGAGTTCCCTATTTTTACAGATGAAGAAAGTAAGGCACAAAGAGATCTTCAAACTTTCACATAGTGTGTTAATAGAAAAACTGGGATTAAGACTTGAGTCCTGGAATTTCCCAGTCATAGTTTATTAGGTTATGTTTTCTGAAATGTGCATAATTTAAAATGGGACTTTAATTGGCTTTGGTCTGCAGGGGTGGCTATGCTTTCTATTGGTACAGTGTTGCAGACCTGAGCTACATTATGATGCTTGTCCTGTCCCTTCTTGCCAGCCTTGATCTGTCCAGAGTCTTTGCTGAGAAGGGCCCTTAGAGGGCCATGATTTTTATAGGATTCCTAAAATCATTCGTCCCCCAAACCACAGCTGCTTGGATTAGAGGTGAACACCAGACCCAGGGGTGACCGATCAATAGATTGGCCTGTGGCCTAAACATAACAGGACTGTCATACTCCTCTCCAGAATTTGGAATAACAAAGAATGAGAAAATTAGTGTGGGTGCTGCAAGGTAAAAATCATGATGTAAAGATATGCTGGAAAGGCCAGGGTGGACTGTGGTTAACTAAAATCACGAGAGCAGAAATTACTAGTAAGTAGAAAGTTTGACTTAGAGAACAGAGAAAGATTAGATAAGGAAGCAAGTCGTTAGAGTAAGAAAAATAAATAAATATTCAGGAAAAATAAATAGACACCATGAGAGACAAACCATGTAGCAATTGATAGCTGGTGGAGACAGAGCAGCCAATTCTTAGGGCTGCTCCTGTGACTGGCAGCTTTCCAGCTTCTATCCATGTATATATGTACAAGTTCTGCTGCACAAAACAGGAACTCTGCATTAGTGACTTAGCCCAAAGGGGGTTTGTAGTCTTCACATAACAAGAAGTCTGCAGGCAGGCGGCTCAGGGCTGGAGCAGCAGCTCCACAACATCAACAACACACCAAGCTGCACTAGCTTTCCACTTCACCATCCTGGACAAGCAGCTTTTCTCCTCATATTTGCCATCTCACAGCCTCCAGCTTCACATCTATTTCCATGAGGGAAGAAATGATGAAGATAAATGTGTTTTCCATGTATAAGTATCAGAAATGCAAAACTTCCCCCAAAAATCCTGCTTTTTTTCTCATTACCTAAACAGTGACATGGACTCTTCGCAACAAAAACTTTTTTTTTTTTGAGACAGAATCTCACGCTGTCGCCAGGGCTGGAGTGCAGTGGCATGATCTTGGCTCACTGCAACCTCCGCTTCCTGGGTTCAGGCGATTCTCCTGCCTCAGCCTCTCAAGTAGCTGGGATTACAGGCGCCTGCCATTATGCCCAGCAAATTTTTTGTATTTTTAGTAGAGACGGGGTTTCACCGTGTTGGCCAGGCTGCTCTTGAACTCCTGACCTCATGATTCACCCGCCTCGGCCTCCCAAAGTGCTGGGATTACAGGTGTGAGCCACTGCGCCCGGCCAAGCAAAACTTTAAGAAATATAAACCCTTCTCCTTTTTCTGTTTTTAGCTTAGCACATTGTTGCCCAGGACAAAATTGGGAGTCCAGGGCTGGGTGCGGTGGCTCACGCCTGTACTCTCAGCACTTTGGGAGGCCAAGGCAGGTGGATCATGAGGTCAGGAGTTCAAGACCAGCCTGGCTAAGATGGTGAAACCCCATCTCTACTAAAAATACAAAAATTAGCCACACATGGTGGCATGCACCTGTAATCCCAGCTGCTCAGGAGGCTGAGGCAGGAGAATCGCTTGAACTCGGGAGGCAGAGGTTGCAGTGAGCCAAGATCACGCCACTGCACTCCAGCCTGGGTGACAGAGTGAGACTCCATCTCAAAAAAAATAAAATAAATAAAATAGAATAAAAAAGAAAGAAAGAAAATTGGGAGTCCAGTTAGTAAGAAGAAGGGAAAGACTGGTGAAGCAACTAGCACTGCCTTCCCAGCATACTTGTACCTAGACCCCCACTGCTTGAGGAACTCGTGTGAATCTTGAAATAAATTTTCAAGATTGGAGGTAAGAGGTATGTGGTTGTTCCAGGAAAGGTAGTCTGGTCATCAGTCATCATAATTCTGCTGTCTCCGACTTTGAGCAAATATAGCTGGCCCACCCAGAAGAGTGCTATCTTGTTTTAAAGTACTTGGGGGGAAAAATCCAAAACATTAACTGCTAATAGCAAATATGGATTTGTTAACAAGTTGTGCCACACTAACTTTATAAAACATTTTTAAAAATTACACTGAGAGGTGGGGAAATGCTGTAGATACAGAATGTCTTGGTTTTGGCAAGGCAATTAATAAACCCTCTTGATGTCACTGAAAAAAGATGGAGATATTTAATTTGATGATGGTAGAGTTATCTAAACAAAAAGCTGGTTACATGTATTTACGAAGCTTGATGTTGACAAATAAATTGTTAATCCAACAAGAAGTCTTTAGAGGTGAACCAAGAGAACCTGCCCTTGACTTTGTCCTGTTCAATATTTCTGGTGGTGACTAGGAAGAAGAGAGAGTTCACTGATCCAGAGTTGGAAGAATAGCTTTTAATGATGAGTGATGGAATAGAAATATATGAGCAGAATGGCCTTAGGTTGAAAAGACTCAGTAACACAAATACGGCAGAGAGAGGATCTGGTTTAATATCAGTTCAAGGGAGAAAAAACAAAAAGGACTCCATTCAAAGTCAACTGTGATGATGCATGGCTTGCTTGCCCCTCTCTCCCTTTATCTTATTCACTTAGCAAATCCCCAACCCATGTGAAATCCAATCCTTACTGTCCCACACCTGCACTTGTGCAGCTGCAAATGGCAGGAGAGAAACACAACCGCACGGGAAGTCCTTACTTTAAATTTATGACCAAATAGGCTCTTAATGCTGCCACTCGTAGAAACATATAAACGCTCCTGGTTGCATTAGGACTTTTCCTCATTTTGGTCTCCTAAGTGAATATTTCACACATCCTTCTCTCTCCTCAATTCCTCAGCATCTCCTTCATTATCTTCCTTCTAAGCTGATGCGCCTGCTTTCTGCTTAACTGAGAAAACTGAAGTGATCATATCAGAAGTTGCATGGATTCTGCATCACCACTGCATCTGCTCACCACTCAGCATCTCCACCCACAGGTACCACCTTCTTGCCTGTGACAGAACTATCTCAAGTACATACCTCTATTTGTGGAGGCACCTTTCTTGCCCCCACAGAGACATTGCTTGAGCAATTCTCCCCTTCCTCTCCTACATCATCAATTGTTCCCTCTCTGTTGAAAATTCCCATTAGCATTGAAACATGCAATTCTTACTTCTGGAATTATTTCCAGTCCTGTGTGACTCTGGGAATTGTTTCTCGCTCCTTTTCTGTTTCTCTCCTAGGCCTTGGGGAGTTTCTTCAGCTGAAGCCCCTCTACAGGGAACCCCTGCAGCCCTCCAGAGCTCTTTCTCTGAGCAGTCCTCTTTGCTGTGCTATTCTGCTCTGTGAATTCTTGCACTGCCTTGTTCTCCCTGAATTCTCAACTCTGTCCCTCACCCTGGGGCACTGTTTGGTTTCCCCCGCTGCACAGTGTGGCTGGAATCTCTATGCAGTTCGCTGGGCAGTCATGTGGAGCACCTCGTTTGTTTCCTGGCTCTCAGGGATCACTGTCCTGTGCTGTGTTTTCCACTGACTGAAAATTCTTTGTTTCATGAATTTTGTCCAGTTTTTCAGGTGTTTAAGGTGGGAGGGTAAATTCAGTCTCTAGTGCTTCATCATGACTGGACACAGTCTTTTCATTCTTCTTAAGCCCACTTCAGTGAGATTTTTTGCTTCCAGCATGTCCTTGGAATCTCTCTCGTCTGGGTCAGCCCTGATCTTCGGTGGTTTAATCCAGTGCTCAGTTCTCACTTTACTGGCCCTGCCAGCCACATTTGATACATTTGATTGTGCTTTTGTACTACATACATTTTCTTCATGTGGCTTTCGAGGCCCATTTCTTTAGACCCAGAATCGGACCATTCCTCATCCCCTCCACTGCCACCACCCTGGTCTAGTCGCCATCGTCTTTCTCCTACAATATGGCAAGAATCTACTTTGCTTTCCCCTCAGCCTGCAGGAGGTGGGGAGAGGAAAGATATTCAAATCTTTTCTCAAACTAGCATCCAGAGTGATCCATTTAGAATACAAGTCAGATCATCCCCTTCCTTATTCAAATCCCTGCAGGGGCTGTAGATTTCCCTCAGATAGAAACCCACCAGCTCCAAGGGCCTGCTGCTCACCTTCCTGATTTCCTCTCTCACTGCTGCCCCACCGACTCACTGGGCTTCAGCCACAGTGGACTCTTTTTGTTCCCAGAACATGCCACGTGGGTCCCACCATAGCATCTGTGCGCTGCTGAAACATTCTTTTTCTTGGAGTACCTGTAGTTAACTCCCTTGCTTCAAATCATTGCTCAGATATCACCTTCTCATTGAGGACTACCCTGATGAATTGATTTAATACAGCACCTTTCCTAACCCTCCAAGTCACCCATCTCTCTACATACTCACAGCAGGAACATGACAGATACTTGTTGAATGGAAGAATGAACAAGGTCAGGAAAGAACAATCAAATATAATTTTAGATTCTTTTAGTAGAATTACAATTTCCAAGCAAGAAATGTATAGTCTCACTGTACTTTGGAGTAACGGTAATAGTTAAAAATTTTCAGTAATTACTGTGTGCTCTCTATATATCATTACACCATTAAATATTCACAGCAATATGATAAGGTAGGTTTTCTTTTTGTTGGTGAAGAAAATGAGACAGAAAGGTTTAATAAATTTCCCCATTCGCACAGCTAAGAATTGGTAGAACCATGATTCAAACCCAGACAATTGACTATAGAACCCAAATCTACTATTTTAAGCGACTACTTCTCTGTCACGAGAAGTTTATGCAGAACTCGGATGACCACCTCTTGGGTATAAAGGTCTTCAGTTGGAAGTTTAGACTTGCATTCTACCTGGCAGATTCTGTGATTCACCTGCCCTTTACCTGGTGGCCCATTTAGATGCCAATGGCAGTGCAAGGAAGGGACAGCTGAGACCAGAACTGCTCACCAGTGTGGGAAAGAGAAGCAGCACACTCCCATTCCCACCCCCTCCATTTTACAGATACCCTGAAGATGGGGGAGAGACCATTTCTATTTCCTAAATGGATGTGTTCCCGATAGGAATGCAGTGAGATTAAACTCACAGCACGTTGTATTTTGCCTTAGTTGGAAGCAGAGCATATATTAACTGGACTCATGGAAAACTTGTCATTGCTCAAACTGGAGGAAGTCTGATTAGACAAATCATGTAGCTTAATTTGAAAAGAACTCAAGGAAAGACATCTGACTAAATGAATCAAAAGAGGATATCTCTGGGCAGGTGCGGTGGCTCACAGCTGTAATCCAAGCACTTAGGGAGGCCTAGGTGGGCAGATCACTTGAGGTCAGGAGTTCAAGACCAACCTGGCCAACATGGTGAAACCCTGTCTGTACTAAAAATACAAAAATTAGCTGGTTGTGGTGGCCTGCACCTGTAGTCCCAGCTACTCAGGAGTCTGAGGCATGGGAATAGTTTGCACCTGGGAGGCGGAGGTTGCAGTGAGCTGAGATTGCGCCACTACACTCCAGTCTGGGCGAAAGAGCAAGCCTCCGCCTCAGAAAAAAAAAAAAAAAAAAAAAGGACATGTCTGTAGGGTGAGTGGGTAGGAAAGTGTTTGAGGATGGTGGTGGCGCAAGCCTGGAAGCTGAGAAAAACAAACTCCAAGTTTGCCCACTTCACACATTTTCCAGAGCCCTGGAACTGTTTTATTCCTTATTCTTGGTCTGAGTGGCTCCTTGGAGTGGGAGGCGGCATGTCACAGCCTGCAGTCTGTTTGGGCACCAGTCCGATCTCCATTCACATCCTGTCTA